>NC_000023.11:80038299-80341329 GCF_000001405.40 Homo sapiens
TTACATTTGATATATTTCTCCATAGGCCACAAGTGCCAGCAGCTGCACAGATAATTTTGTCTAGCCAGTAAGTAATCCACAGCAATTCTAGCATAACTTTCACAAGAGAATTTAAAGTTTGTTGTGTAACCATAGCCTTTACAGTGGAATCTGCTATAGCACCTGTTGTGAGGAACACATTTCTAATTATTGACTCTTCTACTCCAACCATGGGGAAAAAAAACAAACTAACAAATGATGCCCTTTTAGGAAAGTCAAGACCTCCTGGCAATGTTCTTTTTAACCCATGATAGGGTTAATGGAAATGAACCAATGTTCTGTTTTTGACTGATTATTAGGTAATGTATGTACCATTAAAGTTTCTTACCTACATTGGGCCTTTATCTTTTATGAATTAAGATACAAAGTTATCCACATATAAGACTGGCTGCAAAATTCTTTACAAATAAAAGTATACTCAATGAGTGCACATAACACACCCCCCTTTCACTTCTATTGTTTATAGAGGCATAAGAAAGGGAGAAAATTTTCAAAGATAAGGGTCTCATGATAGTAGAGAAGTCTTGATCTATGATTCTGGAAAAAACTGTTCATATAAAGAATGTCATCTTCTTCTGGGGAGGAACTTCCCTGATTAGCTTTACCTTAAGGTTTCCAATGGGTGTACCATTCCAAGAGTGTGGAGGGGGCCTTCTCGGTAGTGAGATTATACACCCAAAGTTTAAGGTCCCAAAGTTTTGCTGTAGTGTGGATGGCAAGGGCAGTCTTTCCCTGATGTTCTTAGAAGATTCGATCTTTAGGTTTTAGATTGTGAAGGGATTAATTGTCCTCAGTAAGTGAACCATAAAATACTATTTTTTTTTTACTTGGTGAAAATACACTGTGGCATAATAATCTACTGTTATAACATCAGCTCTCTTACATGGGAAAACTTTTATACAACCAGAAAACATGCATTGAAAATGATAATTGAATGAAATCCCTCTATACATGTTTAAATGGCACATCAGGTAGTTGACTATACCTGAAGTTTTGACTCTCTTCCCAGGAATATGGGTTTGCCACACCAAACATTGGAGATAAACTATTTCAACAATATAGAAATTTATAACACCCACATATATTTATTTTGGATCATTTTATTTTTTTCCATGATGAGTCATGAAATGCAGAACATTTAATAACAAAACTTTAAGGAGTCAGGAAGGACAAGGTGGCTGTTCTGGTTGTCGATGAGTCTATGCTTAACATTGAGATTATGTCTTCTTGAGTACCAGGTGTCTCTCCAATTTAAGTGTATAGGACTGATAACTGATAGGTTATTGTAGGTTATTTGACTTAGACCATGGAGTTCATTTAAATTGCGTATTTAAACAATTTCAGTATCAGCCAATATATCAAGAAAATCTGGCAAAGTATTTTCTTGGTATTTAATTAATTTTTGTTCTTGGGTTAGCTGTTTTATAAACCAGTCTTCTCATTAAAGTTCTAGGAATTCTTACCCAGTCCAGATGATACGATTTTTAAATTACCAGAAACCTGTATTCAAGAGTGCTTTTCAGGGTCCTTTCCATTCTTTCATGAACCTCCTAGGATCTTGGGTACTTGTAAAGATTTCAGAAACTGCATCAGAATTAAGTAATTAACTGTGGAAATGACTTTAAATAGTTATAGTGAAAGACACAATTGACAAACAAATTTGGTTATTTCTGTGGTATACAATAACTTAATAACCATAATTATGATTGATAGCATATACTCAGACATATTAGAATTCCAGAAATCTCATATAATTTTGGAACATATATTAATGTTTCTCACTAAAATATAACCTGAAGGACTTTAAACTTTTTTTATTTTGACAGTGTTTCCCATGTAACTTAACATGTCAAATAATCTTGTTTACCTCTCTTTGGGATGCTGTAGGGGCCCCCTGTAGCACCCAAAAATGAGAGGTTAAAAAAGACAATGAAGCTGAAATTTGATTTGAGGAAGCCTGTTAAATATGATAAAGATTTAAAACCCTTAATATTATAAAATAGAATTTCAGGTCACCATAAGTTATTTATTTAGCCAAAATGATGACTCAAAAATTTTTAAAAAGAAAAAATCTTTACTCTATAGAGGGAACACTTAGCTTTTCAAGCAAATTGTCTCTTTTCTTTCCCCTATTTTACCTGCAGCTTATTTAAAGGCAAATAAAAATATTTTATTATTCTTTAATATTACATAAAAATCTTGTTCAAGAGAGAAAGCCAAATTTCATTATTGCATTAGTGTACCGTTAATGTTAACCCCAATTTTTAATAAAACCTTATAGACAAATCTATCCAATCTTAATTAGTTTGAGCATAAGGTGAGATTTCCATAAATATTTTATTTATAACCATTTGCAAATTTTTGTTAAAGACCAGATCAGTGCTCTAAGAAAACCCTGTTATGCTTATATTCCAATGTTCAATTTACAGAAAAACTGAGTAATACCCCTTTAAATTTAGCCAATATGTTCACACACATAATTTTTTACAAGATTACTTTTTCGCAAATCTTCTACAACTTGCTCAAACTTTTAGCTTTATTTTATCTAATTTTAAATAATTCTTTAACAGTTTAAACTAGGCAAAAATTTAAATTCCCATGCCTTCTTACAATCTTTTACTAAAAGCACATCTTACTTTTCTCACATACCTTACATGTAAAACTGTTTTTTAAGTAGTTTTAATTACATTTGACAATGTTAACTAGCAATTTTTATTCTTGGTAAAAAACGTGGTGACTTTAATTATGTACTAGTTGTGGAGCCTAGGACTCCTGACAGAAGTGCAAATAAAGTCTGACTCTTTCCAACATGACCAGGGGGTATGGCTAACTAACTCCACATATCCCCAGGCCTTACATAGAATCTAATGGCTCTGAAGCAGGTAAATTGTACAATTTTTTTTATTTCAATAGGTTTTGGGGAAACAGGTGGTGTTTGGATACAGGGATATGTTCTTTAATGGTGATTTCTGAGATATTGATGCACCCATCACTCGAGGAGTGTCCATTGTACCCAATGTATAGTCTTTTATCCGTCATCTCCTCCCACCCTTCCCCCCAATCCTGAAAGTCCATTGTATCACTCTATGCCTTTGCTTTCTTATAGCTTACCTCCAACTTATAAGTGAGAACATACAATATTTAGTTTTCCATTCCTGAGTTACTTCACTTAGAATAATGGTCTCCAACTCCATCCAGGTTGCTGTGAATGCCATTATTTTATTCATTTATATGGCTGAGTAGTATTCCACGGTGTGTGTGTGTGTGTGTGCGTGTATATATATATATATATATATATATATAGTTATGTGTATATATAGTTATGTATATATAGTTATGTATGTATATAGTTATGTGTATATATATATAGTTATATATATTTATATATAGTTTGCACTCCCACCAGCAGTGTTAAAGTGTTCCCTTTTACAACATCCACACCAACATCTATTTTTTTTTAATTGTGGCCATTCTTGCAAGAATAAGTTGTTATTGCATTGTGGTTTTGATTTGCATTGCCCTGATAATTAATAATGTTCAGCACTTTTTCATATGCTTGTTGGCCATTTGTATATCATCTTTTGAGAATTCTCTATTCATGTCCTTAGCCCACTTTTTGATGATAATTTTTTTTTCATGCTGATTTCTTTGAGTTCCTTGTATATTTTGGATATTAGTCCTTTGTCGGATGCATAGTTTATAAAGATTTTCTTCCACTCTGTGGGTTGTCTACTCTGCTGACTATTTCTGTTGTTGTGCAGAAGCTTTTTAGTTTAGTTAACTCCCATCTATTTATTTATCTTTGTTTTTGTTGCCTTTGCTTTTGGGTTCTGGGTCATGAAGTCTTTGCCTAAGCCAATGTCTAGAAGGGTTTTTCCAATGTTACCTTCTAGAATTTTTATGGTTTGAGGTCTTAGATTTAAGTCTTTGACCCATCTTGAGTTGATTTATGTATAAGGTGAGAGATGAGGATCCAGTTTCATTCTTCTACATGTGGCTTGCCAATTATCCCAGTACCATTTGTTGAATAGGGTGTCTTATAGGGTGTCTTTTCCCTCTTTATGCTTTTGTTTGCTTTGTCAAAGACGAGTTGGTTGTAAGGATTGGTTTTAATTTTCTGCTCTCTATTCTCTTCCATAGGTCTACATGCCTGTTTTTATTCCAGTATCATATGATGCTCTTTTGGTAAATATAGCCTTGTAGTATAGTTTGATGTTGGGTAATGTGTTGCCTCCAGATTTGTTCTTTTTGCTTAATCTTGATTTGGCTATGCAGGCTCTTTTTTGGTTCCATATTGTTGGGAACAGGCCTGAAATCTGGCCATAAGCTGGTCCCAAAACTGGCCATAAACAAAATATCTGCAGCGCTGTGACATGTTCGTGATGGCCATGACGCCCACGCTGAAGGTTGTCGGTGGAATGAGGGCAAGGAACACCTGGCCCACCCAGGGCTGAAAACCACTTAAAGGCGTTCCTGAACAGCAAACAATAGCATGAGCGATCTGTGTCTTAAGGACGTGTTCCTGCCTTAAGGACATATTCCTAACTAGCCAGAGTCCATCCCTTTGTTTCGGCCCATCCCTTTGTTTCCCATAAAGAATACTTTTAGTTAATCTATAATCTATAGAAATAATACTTATCATGGGCTTGCTGTCATTAAATATGTGGGTCAAACTCTGTTCAGGGCTCTCAGGTCTGAAGGCTGTGAGTCGCCTGATTTCCCACTCCACACTCTATATTTGTGTGTGTGTGTGTGTGTGTGCCTTTAATTCCTCTAGCACTGCTAGGTTAGGGTCTCCACGACCTAGCTGGTCTCGGCAAGTGGTGCCCATGCGTAGGGCTCAAACCTGGGTCGAAGGGTCACCAGAGCAATGGTTGGAGAATGTGGAACTAAACTGGAGGACACCAGAGTACCCTTAAGCAATCCCCATGGTGAGTAAGAAGGGGAGCTCGGAAGCATCAGGGTAATAATGGGACAAGTGTGGGTTCTGGTTCATTCCACCTTGGAACCTTTTCACACTAATAATGAGGAGGAAGCAAAGTATAACGAAGTAACAGAAGAGGTGACAGAGCAGGTTTGTTTGCCAGCTAAAGCTAACGCAGCAAAGGAGAAAGAGGTTCATCCCTACCCTTCTGCACCTCTTAATTATTTTGAAGAAAAGGAGTGGCCTGACCCTCCAGATCTTTCTTTTCTGGAGGACACTGGGTGAAAAGTAGTTGCCCCAGTGACTGTTCGAGCATTGCCTTGAGCGATCCCTCTCAGTTCTATTCAGTCAGGAATCCAGCAAGCTGGATGAGAGGGTGATATAGAGGCTTGGCAGTTCCCTGTTGAAATACACCTCCCAGATCAACAGAGAAATATTACAGCTATATTTCAGCCTGTTCCTTTTAAATTACTCAAAAAATTTAAGCAAGCTATTAATCAATATGGACCAGGTTCTCCTTTTGTAATGGGACTGTTAAAGAATGTTGCTGTCTCCAGTCAGATGTTGCCAGCGGGGACAGTAGGATTACTTCTAGGTAGATCTAGTTTAAATTTAAAAGGAGTGCAAGTACAAACAGGAGTCATTGATTCAGATTACAATGGGGAAACTCAAATTGTTATATCTACTTCTGTTCCCTGGAAGCAGAGCCAGGAGAGCATATAGCACAGCTTCTGATTTTGCCGTATGTGAAAATGGGGAAAAGTGAAATTAAATGAGCAGGAGGATTCGGAAGCACAAATAAACAAAGCAAAGCAGCTTATTGGGTGAATCAAATTACTGATCAATGTCCTACCTGTGAAATAACTATTCAGGGAAAGAAATTTAAAGGTTTGGTAGATACAGGAGTGGACATTTCAATCATTTCTCTACAGCACTGGTCATCCATGTGGCCAATTCAACCCACTCAATTTAACACAGTTAGAGTTGGTAAAGCCCCTGAAGTATATCAAAGTAGTTATATTTTTCATTGTGAAGGGCCTGAGGGACAACCTGGGACTATTCAACCAACTGTAACTTCTGTACCTATAAATTTATGGGGGAGAGATTTATTACAGCAATGGGGAGCAAAAGTTCTAATTCCAGAGCAATTATATAGCCCTCAGAGTCAACATATGATGCATGAAATAGGGTACGTCCCTGGTACGGGACTAGGAAAAAATTTGCAAGGTTTGAAGGAACGCTTCAAGTGGAAACACAAAGTTTCCACCAAGGTTTAAGATATCATTTTTGATAGCAGCCATTGTTAAGCCTCCAGAACCTATACCTTTAAAATGGTTAACAGATAAGCCAATTTGGATAGAACAATGGCCACTGAGTAAAGAGAAACTGGAGGTTTTACAGAACTTAGTTACTGAACAATTAGGAAAAGGACACATAGCTCCAACATTTTCCTCTTGGAATTATCCAGTTTTCGTGATTAAGAAAAAATCAGGTAAATGGAGAATGTTAACTGACTTAAGAGCCATTAATTCAGTTATACAACCTATGGGGACATTACAGCTAGGACTGCCTGTTAAACAGTCCAACAATTTTCCAGACTTATCAATTGAAAACATTAAATGACTTTCAAAAATTACTAGAGGACATTAATTGGATATGACCTGCTCTAGGCATTCCTACCTATGCTATGAGTAATCTATTTTCTATCCTTAGAGGAGATCCTAGTCTCACTAGCCATTGGCAATTAACAAAGGAGGCTGAGGCAGAGTTACAGCTGATTGAAAAGCAAGTCCATAAAGCTCAAATAAATAGAATAGATCCAGAGAAGATTCCAGATTTGCTAATTTTTTCAACTCAGCATTCTACTGGTGTTATTGTTCAAGAGCAAGGTCTTGTAGAGTGGCTTTTTCTTCCACATACTAATTCACGGACTCTAACTCCTTATGTGGATCAAATCGCTACTATGATAGGAAATGGGAGAACTCAGATTGTTAAATTACATGGATATTATCCTGGAAAAATTATTGTCCCTCTCATGAAGGCACAAATACAGCAAGCTTTTATAAATAGTCTTACTTGGCAAACCCATTTAGCTGACTTTGTGGTTATTCTCGATAATCATTTTCCTAAAATGAAACTGTTTCAATTTTTGAAATTAACTAATTGGATTCTCCCTAAAATAACTAAATTTAAACCAATTAAAGGTGCTGAAAATGTCTTCACAGATGGGTCTAGTAATGGTAAAGCTTCTTATTCTGAATTGAAAGGTAAAATTTTTCAGATGCCCTATACTTCTGCTCAGAAAGCAGAGCTTGTAGCTGTAATTGAGGTATTGACTGCTTTTAATATGACTATTAATGTGATTTCTGATTCATCATATGTGGTTCATTCCACACAATTAATTGAAAATGTTCAGTTACGATTTCATACAGATGAACAACTGATGACTTTATTTACCTAATTGCAAACAGCAGTCAGGAGTAGAATGCACCCTTTTTGCGTCCCTCACATTAGGGCTCATAAACCTCTTCCAGGACTTTTAACTGAAGGGAATCAAGTGGCTGAACACCTAGTTGCTACTGCAATATCTAATGCTAGACACTTTCACAATTTAACCCATGTTAATGCCGCTGGTCTCAAACGCAGATACAGCATTACCTGGAAAGAAGCTAAAGCTATTATCCAGCAATGTCCAACTTGCCAAATGGTGTATTCCTCATCTTTTACAGGTGGAGTTAATCCTCGAGGATTGGAAACTAATTCTCTTTGGCAAATGAATGTCACACATGTTCCCTCATTTGGGAGACTAGCTTATGTACATGTATGTGTGGACACCTTTTCTCACTTTGTCTGGGCTACATGCCAATAAGGAGAGTCTTCTTCCTGTGTTAAATGTCACCTTTTGCAGTGTTTTGTGGTAGTGGGCATTCCAACTTCTATTAAAACAAATAATGCCTCAGGCTCTACTAGTCAAGCTCTAGCTACATTTATCTCTATATGGAATATTAAACACATTAGTGGTATCCCATATAATTCTCAAGGACAAGCCATAGTGGAAAGAATGAATCTCTCCCTAAAACAGCAGTTGCAAAAGCTAAAGGGGGAAACTGGGGACTACGGGACACCCCATATGGAATTGAATGTAGCATTATTGACTTTAAATTTTTTGAGCCTGTCTAAACGCCAGATGCAATCAGCAACTGAATAACATCTACAAAAACAAGCTGCAAAGACAGAAGCAGAATAACTAGTTTGGTGGAGAGATCTGATAACAAAAAGTTGGGAAATAGGTAAATTAATAACTTGGGGTAGAGGTTATGCTTGTGTTTCTCCAGGACCAAATCAACAGCCAATTTGGGTGCCATCAAGACATCTAAAGCCTTATCATGAGCCAGATGCCAAATAAGAGACTCTGGGAGGAACCCGAGAACCCCCCAGTTGCAGCCATGTCAAGACTGATGCTGAGGAGGACCCCAACTGTCACAAGCAACACCTATTGAACACAGCCAACTACCTGCGGACAGATCAAGAAGCTGTCACAGATAGCAGAAGAAAACCTGAGGAAAGCAGGACAACCAGTCACCATGAGTAATTTAATCATAGCCATAATAGCAGTGATCACCACTGCTGTGAGTATTCCCTCAACAAGGGCTGACACAGAGAACAATTATACTTATTGGTCATATTTATCGATCTTGGCTGGCAATAATGCCTGGATGTAATCACTCTATGACACAGTTACACATGCTTTCTGATCTCAGTATTTACCATAATACATCTGCTCCTATAATTGAGGCATACTGCCCTCAAAAACCTATTTGTAAGCAGAATTGGACCTGGCCAGAAATAATGAATGTACTTGTTTGGGAAAATTGCATTGCAGAACAGGCAGAGGTGCTGTGCAACGATTCCTATGGAATCATTATTGATTGGTCCCCTAAGGGGATGTTCAGCTTGAATTGCACCTCTCAGTCTGTGTGCCATGGCCACACTATGTTCAGCTGGTCTGAACAGAATGGTCAGATGGTAGAAATGGTTAGAAATATGGCAAGAGTTCCTATTATCTGGAAACATGGTGGTATAGTGGCACCTCAACCTCAAATGATATGGCTCGCTCTAGGAGTTAAACATAAGGATTTGTGGAAACAATTAATGGCTCTTAAATAAGATCAAAATTTGGGAAATAATAAAAAAGCATCTAGAAGGACACTCCACAAACTTGTCTTTGGATATTGCAAAATTAAAAGAACAAATATTTAAAGCATCCCAGGCACACCTGACCTTAATGCCAGGAACTGGAGTGCTTGAAGGAGCTGCAGACAGAGTAGCAGCTATTAACCCATTAAAATAGATAAGGACACTTGGAGGCTCTGTGATTTCAATGATGATTGTGTTTTTAATCTGTGTTGTTTGTCTTTGTATAGTCTGTAGATGCGGATCCCGACTCCTGCAAGAAATAGTTCACCATGACAAAGCTGCCTTTGCTTTTATTGCTTTGCAAAACATAAAAGGGGGATATGTTGGGGATAAGCCCCCAAATCTGGCCATAAAGTAGCCCCAAAACTGGTCATAAACAAAATCTCTGCAGCACTGTGACATGTTTGTGATGGCCATGACGCCCACGCTGAAAGTTGTTGGCTTACTGGAATGAGGGCAAGGAACACCTGGCCCACCCAGGGCAGAAAACTGCTTAAAGGCATTCCTAAACCACAAACAATAGCATGAGCAATCTGTGCCTTAAGGACATATTTGTGCTGCAGATAACTAGCCAGAGCCCATCCCTTTGTTTCCCATAAGGAATGCTTTTAGTTAATCTATAATCTATAGAAATAATGCTTATCACTGGCTTGCTGTCAATAAATATGTGGATCAAACTCTGTTCGGGGCTCTCAGCTCTGAAGGCTGTGAGTCCCCTGATTTCCCACTTCACATTCTATATTTCTGTGTGTGTGTCTTTAATTCCTCCAGCGCCACTGGGTAAGGGTATCCACGACCAAGCTGGTCTCGGCACCATACGAATTTTAGAATTGTTTTTTCCAGTTTTGTGAAAGATGATGATGATATGTTGATGGGAATTGCATTGAATTGTAGATTGCTTTTGGAAGTATAGTCCTTTTCACAATATTGATTCTACCCATCCCTGAGCATGAGATGTGTTTCCATTTGATTGTGTCATCTATGATTTCTTTCAGCAGCATTTTCTAATTTTCCTTGTAGAGGTCTTTCACCTCCTTGTTTGGTATATTTCTAAGTATTTTATTTTTTTCACACCTATTGTAAAAGTGGCTGAGATCTTGATTTGATTCTCAGTTTGGTTCATAGCAGCTCTATTAAATTTGTGTGCATTGATTTTGTATTCTGAAACTTTACTGAATTCATTTATCAGATCTAGGAGCTTTTGGATTAGTCTTTAGGTTTTTCTACATATATGATTTTATCATTGGTGAAGAGCAATAGTTTGACTTTTCCGTACCAGTTTGGATGTCCATTATTTCTTTCACTTGTCTGATTGCTCTGGCTAGGACTTCTGGTATTATGTTGAAAAGAAGTGTTGAACATGGGCATCCTTGTCTTATTCCAGTTCTTAGGGGGAATGTTTTCAATTTTTCCATGGTCAGTATAATGTTGGCTGTGGGCTTGTCACAGATGGCATTTATTACTTTAAGGTATGCCCCTTCTATGCTGATTTTGGTGAGGGTTTTAATCATATAGCAATGCTAGATGTTGTCAAATGCTTTTTCTGCCTCTATTGAGATGATCATGGGATTTTTTGTTTTTAATTCTGTTTATGTGGTGTATCACATTTCTTGACTTGCATATGTTAAACCAACACTGCATCACTGCCATGAAAAGGCCTTGATCATGGTGGATTGTCTTTGTCATCTGCTGTTAGGTTTGGTAAGCTAGTATTTTCTTGAGGATATTTACATCTATGTTCATCAGAGATATTGGTCTGCAGTTTTGTTTTTTGTTATGTACTTTCCTGGTTTTTGTATTAGGGAAATACTGGCTTCATAGAATGATTTAGGGAGGATTCTGTCTTTCTCTATCTTTTAGAATAGTTTCAACAGAATTCATATCAATTCTTCTTTGAATGTCTGATTGAATTCAGCTGTTAATCTATCTGTCCCTGGACTTTTGTTGGCAATTTTAAAATTACCATTTCAATCTTGCTGCTTGCTATTGGTCTGTTCAGAGTTTCTGTATTTTTCTGGTTTAATCTAGGAGGGTTGTATATTTCCAGGAATTTATCCATCTCCTTCAGGTTTTTTTTTTTGCCCCTTAACTTTTATTTTAAGTTTAGGGGTATGTGTGCAGGATGTGCAGGTTTGTTACACAGGTAAATGTGTGCCATGGTGGTTTGCTGTACAGATCATTTTATCACCTAGGTATTAAGCCCAACATCCATTAGCTATTTTTTCTGATACTCTCCCTCCCCTAATCACCTGCAACAGGCCCCAGTGTGTGTTGTTTCCCCCATATGTCCATTTTTCTCATCATTCAGCTCCCACTTATAAGTGAGAACATGTGGTGTTTGGTTTTCTGTTTCTGCATTAGTTTGCTGAGAAACAAGGCTTCCAACCCCATCTATGTCCCTGCAAAATAAATGATCTTGTTCCTTTTTATGACTGCATAGTATTTCAGAGTGAATCTGGACCACATTTTCTTTATCCAGTTTACCATTCATGGGCATTTAGATTGATTCCATGTCTTTGCTATTGTGAAAAGTGCTGCAGTGAACATACATGTTCATGTATCTTTATCATAGAATAATTTATATTAATTTGGTTATATACCCAGTAATAGGATGGCTGGGTCAAATGGTATTTCTGTCTCTACATCTTTGCAGAATCACCACACTGTCCTCCACAATGGTTGAACTAATTTACATTCTCACCAACAGTGTAAAAATATTCCTTTTTCTCTGCAATCTCAACAGCGTCTGTTGTTTTTTTTACTTTTTAAAGATCGCCATTCTGACTGGCTTGAGAGGGTATCTCATTGTGTTTTTGACATGCATTTATCTAATAATCAGTGATGTTGAGCTTTCTTCATATGTTTTTGGATGAATGTATACCTTCTTTTGAAAAGTGTTTGTTCATTTTCCCAAGTTTATTGGGATTGTTTACTTTTTTCTTGTAAATTTGTTTAAATTTCTAGTATACTCTGGATATTAGACCTTTATCCGATAGGTAAATTGCAAAAATTTTCTCTCATTCTGAAGGCTGTCTGTTCACTATGATGACAGTTTATTTTGCTGTGCAGAAGCCCTTTAGTTTAGTTAGATCCTATTTGTCAATTTTTATTTTGTTGTGATTGCTTTTGGCATTTTCATCATGAAACCTTTACCAATACCTATGTCCTAAATGATATTGCCTAGATTTTCTTCTAGGGTATTAATGGTTTGGGGGTTTACATTTAAGTCTTTAATCCAACTAGAGTTAATTTTTGTATGTGGTGTAATAAATGGGTCTAGTTTTAATTTTCTGCATATAGCCAGCCAGCACACACAGCAGCATTTATTATATGGAAAGTCATTTCCTCATTGCTAATTTTTGTCAAGTTTGCTGAAGATCAGACGGTTGTAGGTGTGTGGTCTTATTTCTGGGTTCTCTATTCTGTTACATGGGTCTGTGCATCTGTTTTTGTACCAGTACCTTGCTGTTTTGGTTACTGTAGCCTTATAGTATAGTTTGAAGTCGGGGAGCATGATGCCTCTAGCTTTGTTCTTTTTGCTTAGGAATGACTTGGCTATTCAGGCTCATTTTTGGTTCCATATGAATGTTAAAATAGTTTTTTCTAATTCTGTGAAGATTGCCAGTGGTAGTTTAATGGGAATAGCATTGAATAGCCAGAAACTTTTGGGCTGAGATGGTGAGGTTTTCTAGATATAGAATCACGTCATCTACAAACAAAGATAATTTGACTTCCTCCCTTCCTATTTGAATATGCTTTCTTACTCCTGCCTGATTGCCCTGGCCAGAACTTCCAATACTATGCTGAATAGGAGTGGTGAGAGAGGGCATCCTTGTCTTGTGCTGGTTTTCGAGGGGAATTCTTTCAGTTTTTTTACCATTCAGTATGGCACTTGCTATGGGTTTGTTATATATGGCTTATGATTTTGAGATATGTTCCTTTAATACCTAGTTTATTGAGAATTTTTAACATGAAGCGATGCTGAATTTTATCAAGGGCCTTTTCTGCATCTACTGAGATAATCATGTGGTTTTTGTCTTTAGTTCTGTTTATGTGATGAATCACATTTATTGATTTGTGTATGCTTAACTAACCATGGATCCCAGGGATGAAGCCAACTTGATCGTGGTGGATAAGCTTTCTGATGTGCTGCTGGATTTGGTTTACAAGTATTTTATTGAGAATTTTTGCATCAATGTTTATGAAGGATATTGACCTGAAGGTTTTTGTTTTTGTTTTTGTTTTTGTTTTTGTTTTTATCTCTGCCAGGTTTTGGTATCAGGATGATGCTGGCCTCATAGAATGAGTTAGGGAGGAGTCCCTCATTTTGTTTTGTTTTTGGTTTGTAAGCTATTTATTACTGCCTCAATTTCAGAACTTATTATTGGTCTATTCAGAGATTCAATTTCTTCCTCATTAAGTCTTGGGAGGGTGTATGTGTCCTGGAAATTATCCATTTATCATTTCTGATTGTGTTTATTTTATTCTTTCCTCTTTTCTTCTATATTAGTCTTGTTAGCAGTCTATTTTATTATTGTTTTCAAAAAGCCAGCTCCTGGATTCATTGACTTTTTGAAGGGTTTTTGTGTCTCTTTCTCTTTCACTTCAGCTGTGATATTGTTTACTTCTTGTCTTCTGATAGCTTTGGGGTTTGTTTTCTCTTGGTTCTTTAGCTCTTTTAGTTGAGATGTTAGGTTGTTAACTCTGGATCTTTCTAGCTTTTTGATGTGATGATTTAGTGATATAAATTTACCTCTTAATATTGCTTTAGCTGTGTCCCAGAGATTCTAGTACATTGTCTTTTTGTTCTCATTAGTTTTAGAGAATGTCTTGATTTCTGCCTTAACTTCATTGTTTACTCAAGAGTCATTGAGGAGCAGGTTCTTCAATTTTCATGTAGCTGTGTGTTTTTGAGTAAATTTCTTCACCTTGAGTTTTTATTTGATTGTACTGCGGTCTGAGAACTATTCATTATGATTTCAGTTCTTTTGCATTTTCTGAGGAGTGTTTTACTTTCAATTATGTCATGAATTTTAGAGTAAGTGCTATGTGGCAATTAGAAGTACGTATATTCTGTTAAATTTGGGTGGACATTTCTGCAGATGTCTGTCACTACTATTGGTCAGTTCAAAAAATTTTTAATTCCACCTTGAGTTTATTGTTGAACCAAAGATCATTCAGAAGCAGATTATTTAATTTCTATGTATGTGCATGGTTTTGAGGGTTCCTTTGGGAGTTGATTTTCAATTTTATTCTTCAGTGGTCTGAGACAGTACTTGATACAATTTTGAGTTTCTTAAATTTATTGAGACTTGTTTTGTGGCCTATCATATGGTCTATCTTGGAGAATGCTCCATGTGCTGATGAATAGAATGTATATTCTGCAGTTCTTGGGTAGAATGTTATGTAAATATGTGTTAAGTCCATTTGATCTAGGGCATCACTTATGTCCATTGTTTCTTTGTTGACTTTCTGTCTTGATGATATGTCTAATGCTGTCAGTGGAGTACTGAAGTCCCCACTATTATTGTGCTTCTGTCTATCTCACTTCTGAGGTTTAGAAGTAATTGTTTTATAACTTTCGGAGCTCCAGTGTTAGGTGCATATATATTTAGGATTGTCATATATTCCTGTTGGACTAGTCTTTTTATCATTATATAATGTTACTCTTTGCCTTTTTTACTGTTTTTGTGTTAAAGTCTGTTTTGTCTGATATAAGAAAAGCTACTCCTGCTCACTTTTGATGTCCATTTGCATAGAATATCTTTTTCCACCTCTTTACCTTAAGTTTATGTGAGTCCTTATGTGTCAGGTGAGTCTCTAGAAGACAGCAGATAGTTGGTTGGTTAATTCTTATCCATTCTGCCATCCTGTATCTTTTAAGTGGAGCATTTAGGCTATTTCATTCAGCATTAATATTAAGATGTGAGGTACTATTTTATTCATCATGCTAGTTGTTGCCTGAATACAATGCTTTATTTTTCCATTGGGTTCTTGTTTCATAGGTCCTGTGAGATTTATGCTTTAATGAGGTTCTATTTTGGTGTATTTTGAGGTTTAAAGATTTGGATCTGCTTTCAACAGTTCTTTTAGCGCTGGCTTGGTAGTGGTGAATTCTCTCAGTATTTGTTCATGAGAAAATGATTATCTCTTTTTCATTTATGAAGCTGACTTTTGCTGGATACAAAATTCTTGGCTGATAACAGTTTTGTTTATGGAGGCTAAAATAGGACCCCAATTTCTTCTAGCTTGAGGGGTTCCTGCTTAGAAATATGCTGTTAATCTGATGAGTTTTCATTTATAGATTACCTGAAGCTCTTGCCTCACAGCTCTCAAGATTCTTTCATTTGCCTTGCCTTTAGATAACCTGATGACTATGTGCCTAGGTGATGATCATTCAGTGATGAATTTCACCAGTATTCTTGGAGCTTCTTGCATTTTGATATCTATATCTCTAGGAAGACCAAAGAACTTTTCTCAATTATCCCTTCAAATATGTTTTCCAAACGTTTAGGTTTTTCTTGTTTTTCAGAACACCAATTATTCTTACGTTTGGTAGTTTAACATAATCTTAAACTTCTTGGAGACTTTATTCTTATTCATTTTCTTCTTTGTCTTTGTAAGATTGGGTTAATTCAATAGCCTCGTATTTGAGTTCTGAAGTTCTGTTTTCTACTATTTACATTCTATTGTTGAAACTTTCCAGTATATTTTGCATTTCTATGAGTTTGTCTTTCATTTACAGAAGTTTTATGATTATTTCTTATGTATGCTGTTTATTTCTCTGGAGATTTTTTTGGCCACATCTTGCATTATATTTTAAATTTATTTAAGCTGGTTTCCACCTTTTTCTGGTGCCTCCTTGAGTAGCTTAATAATTGGCCTTCTGAATTTTTTTGTTTCTGGCAATTCAGAGATTTCTTCTTCATTTGATTTTATTTCTGGTGAGCTAGTATGATCTTATGGGGGTGTTTAAGAATGTTGTTTTGTCATATTACCAGAACTGTTTGTCTGGTTTCTTCTTATTTGGGTAGACTATGTCAGAGAAAAGACCTGGACTCAAGGGCTTCTGCTCATTATTTTGTTTCACAGGGTGATCCCTTGATTTCATACTCTCCCTCTTCCCCTAGGGATGGGGCTTTCAAGAGCTGGACTGCACTTTTTGTTATTGCTCTTCTAGGTCTAGCCACCCAGTGGAGCTACTGGGCTCCAGGCAGGTCCTTGGGAGTGTCCACAAAGAGTCCTGTGATGTGATTTGTCTTCAGGTCTGTCAGCCATAGATACCAACACCTGTTCCAATAGAGGTAGCAAGGGAGTGATGTTGAGTCTGTGAGGGTCCTTGGTTGTAGTTTTGTTTAGTGCACTGGTTTTCTCAAATGCAGTTAAGTTGTTACATGAAGAGACTCAGGACCTCTAGTTAGCCAGGATGTTACAGGAAGTAAAATTAGCTCTTGTTTTCTCATTTATTGGAGTAGAGTTGTTCATTCCTGAGTTGCTGTAGTGGTTTTAGCTGTTTGGCCTCCAGCCAGGAGGTGGCACTTTCAAGACAGCATCAGCTATGGTAGTATAGGGGGATACAAGCTTGCCCTAATGTTGCCTGGATAAGTGTTTGGGTTTCTCAGGTGCCACAGAGCTTCCAAGAGATTATGTCTTTTATCTTCAGCTACCAAGGTGAATAGAGAAAGAGTATCACGTAGGAGGCAAGGTTCTGCATGTCTGAGCTCAGACTCTTTTGGGGCAGAGCTTGCTGCAGCCACTGTGAGAATAGGGGTGTGATTCTCAGGCTAATGGTGTTATGTTCCCAAGGGGATTATATATGCCTCTGCTTTATCATACAGGTCACCAGTAAAGTGGTGAAAGTTGGCAGTGACAGGCCTCACCCAGCTCCCATGCAGCCAACAAAGCCAGTCTCACTCCAACTGTGTCCCACCAACAGCACCGAGTTTATATGTATTCAGCAAGTGAGCAAGACTGAGATCTTGCCCCAGGTTAGAAGACTGCTGCAGCTTCTGTGCTCATATCTGAACATCCCATTCACCTCCCCCCATCCCAGATTCTGCCCAGGAAAAATCATGCTCAGTCAAAATTATTACAAAATTCAGCTGGAGTTTTCCTTCTTCCTGTGGTCCTTCTCTAATTCCACTGGCAGCCCTTCCCAAGGGCCTCTGTGAGATAAAGTAAAAAATGGCTTCCTGGGGCTCAGGAGTGCCTACAGGGCTTCTTCTGCTGCTTCTTCTACTTTTATATTTTCCTCAGCTCTCTAAATTTGTTTCAGCTCTAGGTAAGGTTAAATCCTTCTCTTCTGATTTGGATTTTTAGGTTCTTCACTGAGGATGTGTGTTCAGAGACAGACTTTTCTCCTATCACACTTTGGGCACTCACAGGTTTTGGCTGTCTCATGGAGTTTGCAGCAGCAAACCACTTCTTTCAAAGGGTCTGTGAATTATTTAGATTTCCCTGGTATCTCCCTGCAGTGGTTTTTGGAGCAAAAGTTGAACAATTTTTATTTTCATAACAAAATATGTGATTCAAGCACTTATTATTTTTAAGCCAATTAATCAGAGATCTTTCATATATAAACATCACATACAGAACACATATAAATACACAGAAATGTAGAAGAAGATCTAATGGTTGTATGATTTTTTCATTTGCCAGTTTTTGAATTTCTTTTTGAAGCATGCAGTTTTTAAGGCCTAATACACAGGTACAGCTGGATTGGATCCCTAAAAATTCAGGGTCCCATTTTTATGCTGGATCCTGCATCCCCAAAAGAGAAGTGTTATAGAGCAAGACAGTGCAATGATTTTGTGTGTTTCATGGTAAAATCACTGCTTTGCATTGCAAAGCATCCCGAAGCTGATTAGTTGATTCTGTGATTAGCCCATCCCCCATGGGAGTCTAATTTCAGTGAGGGGTGGGGACATTTCCATTCTTTTTAGGTGGCCAAGAGCATGCTTCTATGATTTAAATGTGCAAAGAGCCAAGTATCCTCCACAACTGCCCTTTGCTATCCCCAAAAGTATGTTTAGCCTTAGATTCTAAGAGAGATCTGTCTGTTTTCAGTTCCTGGGGTTTCATGACTAAAACAGAGGTTTTTCCCAAAACAGGGTCAGTGGCTCCTCCTCTGTTTTTGCCACGGAGTCCCAAGCTGTTAGAGGTTATTTAAGGTTCTCTTATGTGTGCATCAAAAGTGACAAGAAGAAAAAATAAAGAAAAACAATTCAGTTGACTGAAAAGAAAAAACACTTCAAAAATACAAGATTCAAGAAGATAAAAATCCATAAATACCTTTTAAATATACCTGTAGCTTGAATATCTGTCTGCTTTTAATTAAGCTAACTTTTAACCAAATATTTATTACCAGATGCTAGCCTGAACAAACAGCAAATATGTCTGGCTTTTGAACTTCACTAAACGTATCCTTTCAGGTGCTCAGAGAAAGTAAAATTCAAGAAGTGAATTCAGAAGTTTTTCATGGAGGAGAAGAGAATCAATAAATAGCAAAAGTCACGTATGTGTTATATCATTAAAGGACTCATTTCTTTTTTTTATTATACTTTAAATTTTAGGGTACATGTGCACAACGTGCAGGTTTGTTACATATGTATACATGTGCCATGCTGGTGTGCTGCACCCATTAACTCATCATTTAACATTAGGTATATCTCTAATGTTATCCCTCCCCCTCCCCCCACCCCACAACAGGCCCCAGTGTGTGATGTTCCCCTTCCTGTGTCCATGTGTTCTCATTGTTCAATTTCCACTTATGAGTGAGAACATGCGGTGTTTGGATTTTTGTCCTTGCGATAGTTTGCTGAGAATTATGGTTTCCAGCTTCATCCATGTCCCTACAAAGGACATGAACTCATCATTTTTTATGGCTGCATAGTACTCCATGGTGTATATGTGCACATTTTCTTAATCCAGTCTATCATTGTTGAACATTTGGGTTGGTTCTAAGTCTTTGCTATTGTGAATAGTGCTGCAATAAACATACGTGTGCATGTGTCTTTATAGCAGCAGGTTTTATAACCCTTTGGGTATATACCCAGTAATGGGATGGCGGGTCAAATGGTATTTCTAGTTCTAGATCCCTGAGGAATTGAAAGGACTCATTTCTTAAGCCTGGAACTGAACCCTGAAGCCAGGCCACCATTGTGAAAAGACAAAGCCTTAGCTACTAAGCTATTGTACTGGGCAGTTTCCAATGCTCTTAAAACAAGGAATCTAGAGCAGCCAATTTTCAGCTTGCAATGGCTTTTAATTGCTCGAAATAATTTTTTGAGCTAACTATGAAATGTACTGCCAAATTTCTGTTCCCTGGATGGCAGAAACCAAGAAAAAGTATTGCTAGGTGGTTACAAGTCAAGCTCCCAAGGACATAAAAAAAAAGATGAAGAAAAAACTCACCCAGTTTTTTGTTTCAGGGACCTGCAGCAAAGTTTGTAGCTGACCAGTTTGCTGTGCTGGCTTGACAGCAAGCTTATGGAGCTCCTAGGCCCACATTGTATCCTAAGATACCCCTCTTTATGACAGAATGATACAATAAAAACAAATTCATAGCACAAAATACACCAGGTTTGCTACAGCTTAAGACTATCTTCACTTTTCTCATTAAGTTAAACTTTGCAAGAGATAGTAATTTTTGCCATTCCTACAACCAGTTTGCACAGAGAGAGAGAAAAGGGAAGGGAGAAAAAGGAAGGGAGAAAAGCATTGCTTGCAGCAGTGTAGGAAAGGCAAGGAGCTCATGGAGGCCAGAGAAAGACCCACTCATTGCAGCAACACAAAATTAAAAGTTCAAGTGGCTACTTGTCAGTCATTATAAGGGATCTATTCCAGCAGTCTCATCAGCTCTCAAATTTCTCCCCTTAGGGAGAAAGAAGCTCCCCATGTCCAGTTATACTGTACATACCTAATTCTGTCACCCACAGCCACCCAAAGAATGAAAGCCAAATTAATTTAAAGAGAATAATGGTCAATATCTCAATAGTGACAAATCCATTTTTTACTAAGAGGAACTTTACTGAGGAGATGGCCTCTAACCCAATCCCATCCTTTACCCAGGTAAAATGTACACCACTACATACACAAAGTTGGCAGTTTATTTCCTTTGGATCACAATCATAACTAAGTCAAAAAGTTAGCAGATTTAATTTTTTAATCAATCACTTAAGATTTTTATTTCCCTTTCATAAAGCCTTTAAATAAAAATATTGAAAATTCCTTTTCTGCATATCAGTAGGCATCCCTAGATGAGACTAATTTGGGAGCTCTCATTTTCAAATATACTTTAGTGCAGTGTTGTTCATTTGGAACATTCCACTGTAAGTTATGTTAGTAAGATTAGTAAAATTTTATCATTTCTGTAAGACTGTTGCTTCCACGGCCCAATACTTATGTATGTATAAGCCAGAAGGAACTCTCTTCTTCAAAAATTAAGGATTTCATTTTTACCTCAAGTATTGGCTTTGCTCTCAGGTTCCCTTGATCAACTAAGCCACAAAGGAGTAGAGGAAAAAAATTCCTGCAAATGTCTGAAAGCCAAAATGTACACCTCCTACAATATTTTCATTTACTACTAATTTCCTTCTGACCCAGTCAGATGTAAGAGGCTTCTAACTGGACCCAAGACAGTTAATTACCAGATCCAATCGAATCCTGGACTCAGTCTAGTTTCTGTCATGACTTCCAAACCCAGTTTGGATCAGAAATTTGCTTAAAGAAACTTGGAGAACTCAAAACACAAACCCATGGAACTTCAGAATCTGAGAATTTACCATGCTCCCCAGCTGCTCTGAGAGATCAAGAAACACAATGGATCTAACGGGTATCTCGGTTGGTCACTCAGTGCTCCTACGGGTCTTTAGAAGTTCTACTTCGGATCCCACTTCCGAGGCCATCTGATAAAACAAAACTTCAAGCTGAATTTAGTTTAATGGTTTAATTGAGTAATGAACAATTTGTGAATCAGGCAGCCGCCTGGGCCAGAGTAGGCTCAGAGACTCCAGCACAGCCACGTGGTGAAAGATTTATGAACAGAAAAAGAAAAGTGATGTACAGAAAATGAAAGTGAGGTAGAGAAAAGTCTGGATTGGTTACAGCTCAGCATTTGCCTTATTTGAACATAGTTCAAATAGTTGGCTACATTTGATTGGTCAAATATTGGTAATTGGCACAAGTGTAGGCTATGGTCTAGGTTACACCTCCACTTGTTATAGTTCACAATGTAAAAAAAACCCTTTAGGCCAAATATAAAATATGTGAGGAGGCAGCTTTAGGCTAAACTTGATTCAACAACAGTACCACGTTTTGTTTAATTGTTTGTTTTGTTTTTGTTTACTTTTTAATAATAGCCATTCTGACTGGTGAGAGATGTTATCTCATTGTGGTTTAGATTTGCATTTCTCAAATGGTTAGTGAGACTGAGCATTTTTCATGTTTGTGAGATGCTTGCATGTCTTCTTTTCAGAAGTGTCTGCTCATGTTCTTTGTCCACTTCTTAATGGGTTTATTTGTTTTTTGCTTGTATATTTTAAAACAATTTCTTATAGACTCTGGATATTGGACCTTTGTTGGACGTACCTTTGCAAATATTTTATTTCATTCTCTAGGCCATCTGTTTACTCTGCTGATAATCTTTTTTTTTTTTTTTTTTGCTATAAAGAAGCTTTTTGATTTTATTAGGTCCTACATGTCAAGTTTGTTTTTGTCACAATTGCTGTTGGTATCTTTGTCATGAAATCTGTCTTAAGGCCGATATCCAAAATAGTGTTTTCCAGGTTTTCTTCTAGGAATCTTATAACTCTAAAACTGAAATCTTTAATCTATCTTGAGTTATTTTTTGCATACGGTGAAAGGTATGGGCCCATTTTCATTCTTTTGCATATGACTAGCCAGCTACCCCAGAACCATATATTGAATAGAGAGCCCTTTCCTCATTTTTTTTTTTTGTTGACTTTGTCAAAGATCAGATGGCTGTAGGTGTGTGGCTTTATTTCTGGGTTGTCTGTTCTGTTCCATTGGTCTATGTGTCTGTTTTTGTACCAGTATCATGTTTTGTTTAAAGTAGTCTTTTTTTTGGCTTTTATTACTATTATTATACTTTAAGTTCTAGGGTACATGTGCACAATATGCAGGTTTGTTACATATGTATACATGTGCCATGTTGGTTTGCTGCACACATTAACTCATCATTTACATTAGGTATTTCTCCTAATGCTATCCCTCCCCCATCCCTCCACCCCATGACAGGCCCCAGTGTGTGATGTTCCCAGCCCTGTGTCCAAGTGTTCTCATTGTTCAATTCCCATCTATGAGTGAGAACATGTGGTGTTTGGTTTTCTCTTCTTGTGATAGTTTGCTCAGAATGATGGTTTCCAGCTTCATCCATGTCCCTAAAAAGGACATGAACTCATCCTTTTTTATGGCTACATAGTATTCCCTGATGTATATGTGCCATATTTTCTTAATCCAGTCTATCATTGATGGACATTTGGGCTGGTTTGAAGTCTTTGCTATTGTGAATACTGCCACAATAAACATACATCTGCATGTGTCTTTATACTAGCATGATTTATAATCCTTTGGGTATATACCTAGTAATGGGATGGCTGGGTCAAATGGTGTTTCTAGTTCTAGATCCTTGAAGAATCACCACACTGCCTTCCACAATGGTTGAACTAGTTTACACTCCCACCAACAGTGTAAAAGTGTTCCTATTTCTCCATATCCTCACCAGCATCTGTTGTTTCCTGACTTTTTAATGATCGCCATTCTAACTGGTGTGAGACGGTATCTCATTGTGGTTTTGATATGCATTTCGCTGATGGCCAGTGATGATGAGCATTTTTTCATGTCTGTTGCCTGCATAAATGTCTTCTTTTGAAAAGTGTCTGTTCATATACTTTGCTCACGTTTTGATGGGGTTGTTTGATTTTTTCTTGTGAATTTGTTTGAGTTCTTTGTAGATTCTGGTTATTAGCCCTTTGTCAGATGGGTAGATTGCAAAAATTTTCTCCCATTCTGTAGGTTGCCAGTTCACTCTGATGGTAGTTTCTTTTGCTGTGCAGAAGCTCTTTAGTTTAATTAGATGCCATTTGTCAGTTTTGGCTTTTGTTGCCACTGCTTTAGGTGTTTTCGTCATGAAGTCTTTGCCCATGCCTATGTCCTGAATGGTATTACCTAGGTTTTCTTCTAGGGTTTTTATGGTTTTAGGTCTAACATGTAAGTCTTTAATCCATCTTGAATTGATTTTTGCATAAGGTGTAAGGAAGGGATCCAGTTTCAGCTTTCTACATATGGCTAGCCAGTTTTCCCAGCACCATTTATTAAATAGGGAATCCATTCCCCATTTCTTGTTTTTGTCAGGTTTGTCAAAGATCAGATGGTTGTAGATGTGTGGTATTATTTCTGAGGGCTCTGTTCTGTTCCATTGGTCTATATCTCTGTTTTGGTACCAGTAGCATGCTGTTTTGGTTACTGTAGCCTTGTAGTATAGTTTGAAGTCAGGTAGTGTGATGCCTCCAGCTTTGTTCTTTTGGCTTAGGATTGTCTTGGCAATGCGGGCTCTTTTTGATTCCATATGAACTTTAAAGTAGTTTTTTCCAATTCTGTGAAGAAAGTCATTGGTAGCTAGATGGGGATGGCATTGAATCTATAAATTACCTTGATCAGTATGGCCATTTTCAGATATTGATTCTTCCTACCCATGAGCATGGAATATTCTTCCATTTCTTTGTGTCCTCTTTTATTTCGTTGAGCAGTGATTTGTAATTCTCCTTGAAGAGGTCCTTCATGTCCCTTGTAAGTTGGATTCCTAGGTATTTTATTCTCTTTGAAGCAAATGTGAATGGGAGTTCACTCATGATTTGGCTCTCTGTTTGTCTGTTATTGGTGTATAAGAATGCTTGTGATTTTTGCACATTGATTTTGTATCCTGAGACTTTGCTGAAGTTGCCTATCAGCTTAAGGAGATTTGGGGCTGAGACAATGAGGTTTTCTAAATATACAATCATGTCATCTGCAAACAGGGACAGTTTGACTTCCTCTTTTCCTAACTGAATGCCTTTTATTTCTTTCTCCTGCCTGATTACCCTGGCCAGAACTTCCAACAGTATGTTGAATAAGAGTGGTGAGAGAGGGCATCTCTGTCTTCTGCCAGTTTTCAAAGGGAATACTTCCAGTTTTTGCCCATTCAGTATGATATTGGCTGTGGGTTTGTCATAAATAGCTTTTATTATTTTGAGATACATCCCATCAATACCTAATTTATTCAGAGTTTTTAGCATGAAGGGCTATTGAGTTTTGTCAAAGGCCTTTTCTGCATCTATTGAGATAATCATGTGGTTTTTGTCTTTTGTTCTGTTTATATGCTGGATTACGTTTATTGATTTTCATATGTTGAACCAGCCTTGCATCCCAGAGATGAAGCCCACTTGATCATGGTGGATAAGTTTTTTGATGTGCTGCTGGATTCGGTTTGGCAGTATTTTATTGAGGATTTTTGCATCGATGTTCATCAGGGATATTGTTCTAAAATTCTTTTTTTGTTGTGTCTCTGCCAGGCTTTGGTATCATGATGATGCTGGCCTCATAAAATGAGTTAGGGAGGATTCCCTCTTTTTATATTGATTGCAATAGTTTCAGAAGGAGTGGTACCAGCTCCTCCTTGTACCTCTGGTAGAATTCGGCTGTGAATCTGTCTGGTCATGGACTTTTTTTAGTTGGTAGGCTATTAATTATTGCCTCAATTTCAGAGCCTGTTATTGTTCTATTCAGGGATTTAACTTCTTCCTGGTTTAGTCTTGGAAGGGTGTATGTGTCCAGGAATTTATCCATTTCTTCTAGATTTTCTTGTTTATTGGCATAGAGGTCTTTATAGTATTCTCTAATGGTAGTTTGTATTTCTGAGGGCTTGGTGGTGATATCCCCTTTATCATTCTTTATTTCATCTATTTCATTCTTCTCTCTTTTCTTCTTTATTAGTCTTGCTAGCGGTCTATCAATTTTGTTGATCTTTTAAAAAAAACAGCTCCTGGATTCATTGATTTTTTGAAGGGTTTTTTTGTGTCTCTATTTCCTTCAGTTCTGCTCTGATCTTAGTTATTTCTTGCCTTCTGCTAGCTTTTGAATGTGTTTGCTCTTGTTTCTCTAGTTCTTTTAATTGTGATGTTAGGGTGTCAATTTTAGATCTTTCCTGCTTTCTCTTGTGGGCATTTAGTGCTATAAATTTCCCTCTACACATTGCTTAAAATGTGTCCCAGAGATTACGGTATGTTGTGTCTTTGTTCTCATTGGTTTCAAAGAACATCTTTATTCTGCCTTCATTTTGCTATGTACCCAGTAGTCATTCAGGAGCAGGTTGTTCAGTTTCCATGTAGTTGAGAGGTTTTGAGTGAGTTTCTTAAACCTGAGTTCTAGTTTGACCGCACTGTGGTCTGAGAGACAGTTTGTTATAATTTCTGTTCATTTAGGTTCGCTGAGGAGTGCTTTTCTTCCAACTATGTGGTCAATTTTGGAATAAGTGCGATGTGGTGCTGAGAAGAATGTATATTCTGTTGATTTGGGGTGGAGAGTTCTATAGATGTCTATTAGGTCCACTTGGTGCAGAGCTGAGTTCAATTCCTGGATATCCTTGTTAACCTTCTGTCTCGTTGAACTGTCTAATGTTGACAGTGGAGTGTTAAAATCTCCCATTATTATTGTGTGAGAGTCTAAGTCTCTTCGTACATCTCTAAGGACTTGCTTTATGAATCTGGGTGCTCCTATATTGGGTGCATATATATTTAAGATAGTTAGGTCTTCTCGTTGAATTGATCCCTTTACCATTATGTAATGGCCTTCTTTGTCTCTTTTGATCTTTGTTAGTTTAAAGTCGGTTTTATCAGAGACTAGGATTGCAACCCCTGCCTTTTTTTGTTTTCCATTTGCTTGGTAGATCTTCCTCCATCCCTTTATTTTGAGCCTATATGTGTCTCTGCAGGTGAGATGGGTTTCCTGAATACAGCACACTGATGGGTCTTGACTCTTTATCCAATTTGCCAGTCTGTGTCTTTTAACTGGAGCATTTAGCCCATTTACATTTAAGGTTAATATTGTTATGTGTGAATTTAATCCTGTCATTATGATGTTAGCTGGCTATTTTGCTCGTTAGTTGATGCAGTTTCTTCCCAGCATTGATTGTCTTTAAATTTTGGCATGTTTTTGCAGTGGCTGGTACTGGTTGTTCCTTTCCATGTTTAGTGCTTCCTTCGGGAGCTCTTGTAGGGCAGGTGTGGTGGTGAAATAATCTCTCAGCATTTGCTTGTCTGTGAAGTATTTTATTTCTCCTTCACTTATGAAGCTTAGTTTGGCTGGATATGAAATTCTGCATTGAAAATTCTTTTGTTTAATAATGTTGAATATTGGCCCCCACTCTCTTCTGGCTTGTATGGTTTCTGCTGAGAGATCCACTGTTTGTCTAATAGCCTTCCCTTTGGGGGTAACCAACCTTTCTCTCTGGCTGCCCTTAACATTTTTTCCTTCTTTGCTACCTTGGTGAATCTGACAATTATGTGTCTTGGAGTTGCTCTTCTCGAGGAGTATCTTTGTAGTGTTCTCTGTATTTCCTGAATTTGACCTGCCTTGCTAGGTTGGGGAAGTTCTCCTGGATAATATCCTGCTGTGATTTCCAGCTTTGTTCCATTCTCCCCTTCACTTTCAGGTACACCAATCAGATGTAGATTTGGTCTTTTCACATAGTCCCATATTTCTTGGAGGCTTTGTTCATTTCTTTTTACTCTTTTTTTTCTCTAAACTTCTCTTCTTGCTTCGTTTCAGTAATTTGATCTTCAATCACTGATACCCTTTCTTCCACTTGATCGAGTTGGCTACTGAAGCTTGTGCATGTGTCACATAGTTCTCATGCCATGGTTTTCAGCTCCATCAGGTCATTTAAGGTCTTCTCTACACTGTTTATTCTAGTTAGCCATTCATCTAATCTTTGTTCAAGGTTTTTAGCTTCCTTGCGATGGGTTTGAACTTCTTTCTTTATCTTGGAGAAGTTTGTTATTACCGACTGTCTGAAGCCTACTTCTGTCACCTCATCAAATTCTTTCTCCATCCTGTTTTGTTCCATTGCTGGTGAGGAGCTGTGATCCTTTGGAGGAGAAGTGGCACTCTGGTTTTTAGAATTTTCAACTTTTCTGCTCTGGTTTCTCCCCATCTTTGTGGTTTTATCTTCCTTTGGTCTTTGATGATGGTGACCTACAGTTGTCGGTTTTAGTGTGGATGTCCTTTTTGTTGATGTTGATGCTATTCCTTTCTGATTATTAGTTTTCCTTCTAACAGTCAGGTCCCTCAGCTGCAGGTCTGTTGGAGTTTTCTGGAGGTCCACTCCAGGTTCTGTTTGCCTCGGTATCAACAACAGAGGCTGCAGAACAGCAAATTTTGTGGAACAGCAAATATTGCTGCCTGATCCTGCCTCTGGAAGCTTCGTCTCAGAGGGGCACCCAGCTGTATGAGGTGTCAGTCGGCCCCTACTGGGAGGTGTCTCCAAGTTAGGCTACATGGGGTCAGGGACCCACTTGAGGAGGCAGTCTGTCCATTCTCAGAGCTCAAACACCATGCTGGGAGAACCACTGCTCTCCTCACAGCTGCCAGACAGGGACGTTTAAGTCTGCAGAAGTTTCTGCTACCTTTTATTCAGCTATGCCCTGCCCCCAGAGGTGGAGTCTGCAGAGGCAGGTGGGCCTCCTTGAGCTGTGGTGGGCTCCACACATTTCAATCTTGCCAGCTGCTTTGCTTAACTACTCAAGCCTCAGCAATGGGGGACACCCCTCCCCCAGCCAGGCTTGCCACCTTGCAGTTCCATCTCAGACTAGCAGTGAGCAAGGCTCCGTGGGTGTGGGACTCGCTGAGCCAGGCACGGGATATAATCTCCTGGTGTGCCATTTGCTAAGACCGTTGGAAAAGCACAGTGTTTAGGTGGCAGTGTCCTGATTTTCCTGGTACAGTCTGTCATGGCTTCCCTTGGCTAGGAAAGGGAAATCCCCTTACCCCTTGCACTTCCCGGGTGAGGTGATGCCCTGACCTGTTTCGGCTTGCCCTCAGTGGGCTCCTTCCACTTTCTGACCAGTCCCAATGAGATGAACTATGTACCTCATTTGTAAATGCAGAAATCACCCATCTTCTGTGTCGATCAGTCTGAGAGCTGTAGACTTGAGCTGTTCATTTTGGCCATCTTGGAATGGATCATTAATGTAGTCTTATAGCATAGTTTCAAGTCAGGTAATGGGATGTCTCCAGCTTTATTCTTTCTGCTTAGGATTGCTTTGGATGTTTGTGCTACTTTCTGGTTCCATATAAATTTTGGAAATTTTTTCTAGTTCTGTGAAAAATGACATTTATAGCTTGATAGAAATAGCATTAAATCTGTAGATTTCTTTGGGTGGTATGGCCACTTTAACAATATGGATTCTTCCAATCCATGAGCATAAAGTTGTTTTGCATTTGTTTGTGTTTCCTATGATTTCTTTCAGTAGCATTTTGTAGTTCTTCTTATAGAGATCTTTCAACTCTTTGGTTAGATAGTCTTAGGTAATTTATTTTACTTTATTGGTGGCAATTGTAAATGGGATTATGTTCTTGATTTGGCTCTCAGTTTGAACTTTATTGCTGTATATACATACAACTGATGGTTATATATTGATTTTGTATTCTGAAACTTTACAGAAGTCATTTGTCAGTTCCAGGGGGCATTTGTAGTAGTCATTATGGTTTTCTAGGTATAGAATCATAAGATCCACTAAGAAACATAGTTTGACTTCTTTTTCAATTTTGGTGTATTTTATTTCTTTCCCTTGCCTGATTGCTTTGGCTTGCATTTCTAGTATTATGTTTAATAGGAGTGGTAAGTGTGGGCATCTTCTTATTTTTCCAGTTTTCAAGGAGAATGCTTCCAGTTTTTGTCCATTCAGTATGAAGGTGGCTGTGGGTTTTTCATAGATGGCTCTTTTTTGTTATAAGTTTTATTTTAGGTTCAGGGGTACATGTGCAGGTTTGTTTTATAGGTAAACTGCATGTCATGGTGGTTTAGTGTACAGTTTATTTAATCACAAAGGGAATAAGCATAGTATCCAATAGGTAGTTTTTTTCTGATCCTCTCTTTTCTCCAACTCTCCACCCTCAAATAGAACTTGGTGTCTGTTGTTCCCCTTTTTGTGTTCATGTGTTTAATTGTTTAGCTCCCATTTATAAGTGGGAACATGCAGTATGAAATTTTCTTTTCCTGCATTAGTTTGCTTAAGGTAATGACTTCCAGCTCCATCCATGTTGCTGCAAAGGACATGATCTCATTCCATGTAGTATTCCATGGTGTATAAGTACCAAATTTTCTTTATTCAGTCTATCATTGATGGGCATTTACGTTGATTCCATATCTTTGCTATTGTAAACAGTGCTGCAAAGAACATATGCCTGCATGTGTTTTTAGATCAATTTATATTCTTTTGGGCATATATTGAATAATGATATTGCTGGGTCAAATGATAATTCTGTTTCAAGCTGTTTGAGAAACTGCCACTCTGCTTTCCACAACACCTGGACTAATTTACATTTCACACAGCAGTTTTTTTTTTTTCTCTGCAACCTCACCAGCTTCTGTTATCTTTTGACATTTTCACAATAGTCATTCTGACTGGTGTGAGATGATATCCGATGGTGGCTTTGATTTACATTTCTCTAATGATTAGTGATGTTGACCATTTTTCATATGCTTATTGGCCATATTTTTGTCTTCTTTTGAATAGTGCCTGTTCATGTCCTTTGCCCACTTTTTAATTTTTTTGTTTTCCTTGTTGATTTAAATTTCTTATAGACTCTGGATATGAGACCTTTGTCAGATGTATAGTTTGCAAGTATTTTCTACCAATTTGTAGGTTTTCTGTTTACCCTGTTAATAGTTTATTTTGCTATGTAGAAGCACTTTAATTAGGTCTCACTTATAAATTTTTGTTTTTATTGCAAATTTTTTGGTGTATTCGTAGTGAAATCTTTGCCAGGTCATATTTCTAGAATATTTCCTAGGTTATCTTTCAGTGCATTATAGTTTTAGGCTTTACATTTAAACCTTTAATCAATCTTGAGTTGATTTTTGCATGTGGTGTAAGGAAGGGTTTCACTTTCAGTCTTCTGCATATGGCCAGCTAGTTATGCCAGCACCTTTAGAAAGAGAGAGTCATTTCTTCATTGCTTGTTTTTGTCAGATTTGTCAAAGATCAGATGGTTGTAGATGTGTGGTATTATTTCTGGGCTCTCTATTTTGTTCCATTGGTCTATGAGTTTGTTTTTGTACCAGTACCACACTGTTTTGGTTACTGTAGCCTTACAATATAGTTTAAAATTATGTAACATGATGTCTTCAGCTTTGTTCTTATTTCTTAGGATTGCTTGGTTATTCAAGCTCTCTTTTGTTTCCATACAAATTTTAATATAGTTTTTCTAATTCTGCAAATAATGTCATTGGTAGTTTGGTAGGAATAGCATTGAATCTGTAGATTGTTTTGGGTAATATTACTATTTTAACAGTATTGATTATTTCTATCCATGAGCATGGAATTTTTGTTTGTTTGTTTGTATCACTGATTTCTTTGTGCAGTGTTTTGTAATTCTCATTGTGCAGATCTTTTGCCTCTTTAGTTAGCTGTATTCCTAGGTATTATATTCCTTTTGTGGTTATGTAAATAGGATTGCATTCCTGATTTGGCTTTCAGCTTGGCTGTTGGTGTATGGGAATTCTACTGATTTTTGTACATTGATTTTTGTATCCTGAAACTTTGCTAAAGTTGTTTATCATACAAAGGAGCATTTGGAATGAGACTATGGGGCCTTATAGACATAGAATCATGTGTAGAAACATGGATATTTTGACTTCCTCTTTTTCTCTTTGTGTGGCATTTATTTATTTATATTGCTTGATTGCTCTTGGCAGGACTGTCAGTGCTATGTTGACTAGGAGTAATGTTAAAGGGCATCCCTGTCTTGTTCTAGTTTTCAAGGGAAATGCTTTCAGCTTTTGCCCATTCAGCAAGATGTTGTCTCTGGGTTTGCCATAGATGGCACTTATTATTTTGAAGTATGTTCCTTCTATGCCTAGTTTACTGAGGGCTTTTAACATGAAGTGATGTTAAATTTTATTTAAAACATTTTCTGCATTTATTGAGATGGTTATGAGGGTTTTGTGTTTAGTTTGGTTTATGTGATAAACCCCATTTATTGATTTATGTATGTTGAACCAATCTTGTATCCTGGGGATGAAGCCAACATGATTGTGGTGGATAAGGTTTTTGGGTGCTGCTGGATTCAGTTTGCCAGTATTTTATTGCGAACTTTTGCACTGAGGTTCATCAAGGATATTATCCTGAAGTTTTCTTTCTTTGTTGTGTCTCTGACAGGTTTTGGTATCAGAATGATTTTGGTCTCAGTAGAATGGGTTACAGAGGAGTACTTTCTTCTCAAATTTTGAAATAATTTCAGTAGAAATAGTACCATCTCTTCTTTATACATATGGTAGAATTTAGCTGTGAATCTGAATTGTCTTGGGCTTTTTCTTGTTGGTAGGTGTTTTATTATCATTTCAATCGTGGAACTCATTATTAGTCTGTTTGGAGACTTAACTTCCTCCTGGGTCAGTCTTAGAAAGCGTTTGTTTCCAGGAATTTATCAATTTCTTCCAGATTTTCTAGCTTGTGTGCATAGATGTTTTCACAGACATTCATGTCCATTGGTAATGTCCTCTTTGTCATTTTGAATTGTGTTCATTTGGATCTTCTCTCTTTTTTATTAGTCTAGCTAGAGGAGAGGTCTATGTTATTTATTTTATCAAAATACCAACTCTTGGATTTGTTGATATTCTGAATAGATTTTCATGTCTCAATTTCTTTAAATTCAGCTCTGATTTTGATTTATCTCCTTCTTTTAGATTTGGTTTGTTCTTATTTCTCTAGTTGTGATGTTAGCTTGTTAATTTGAAATCTGTCTAATTTTTTGATATGGATATTTAGTGCTATAAACTTCCCTCTTAACACTACTTTAGCTGTGTCCCGGAGAGTCTCATATTTTGTATATTTGTTGTCACTAATTTCAGAGAACTTCTTGATTTTTTCCTTAATGTTATTATTTACCCCAAAGTCTTTCAGGATAATGTTGTTTAATCTCTATGTTATTGTATGATTTTGAGCAATTTTATTAGCATTGATTTCTATTTTTATTGCACTGTGGTTTAAGAGTGTGGCTGGTATATTTTTATTTTATTTTCTGAGTATTATTTTACGTCTGATTGTGTATTAGTCTGTTCTCACACTGCTATGAAGAAATACCAGAGACTGGGTAATTTATAAAGAAAAGAGGTTTAATTGACTTACAGTTCCACATGGCTGGGCAGACCTCAGGAAATGTACAATCATGGCATAAGGCACATCTTCACAGGGTGGCAGGAGAGAGAATGAGTGACCAGTGAAGGGGAAAGCCCCTTATAAAACTATCAGATCTCATGAGAACTGACTTGCTATCAGGATAATAGGATAGGGGAAACTGCCCCTGTGATTCATTTATCTCCATCTGGTCTCTCCCACAACACATGGGGATTATGGGAACTAAAATTCAAGATGAAATTTGGGTAAGGACACAGCCAAACCATATGATTCCACCTTTGGCTCCTCTCAAATCTTATGGCCTCACAATTCAAAACACAATCCTACCATGTTTATAGTCCCCTAAAGTCTTAACTCATTCCAGCATTAACTTAAAAGTCCAAATCCAAAGTTTCATCTGAGACAAGGCAAATCTCTTATGAGCATGTAAAATCAAAAGCAACTTAATTACTTCCTAGATACAGTGGGACATTCTGTAAATACAACCATTCCGAGTGGGAGAAATTGGCCAAAACAAAGGGGCTACAGGCTCCATGGAAGTCCAAAATCTCATAGGGTAGTCAATAAGCCTTAAGGTTCCAATATGATCTCCTTTGACTCCATGTCTCACATCCAGGTCATGCTAATGCAAGAGGTGGGCTCCCATGGCCTTGGACGGCTCCACAACTGTGGCTTTTGCAGGATTCAGCCCCCCTTCTGTCTGTTTTCATGGGCTGGCATTGAGTATCTGTGGCTTTTCCAGGTGTATGGTTCAAGCTGCTGTGGATCTACCATTCTGGGGTCTGGAGGATGGCGGCTCTCTTCTCACAGCTCCACTAGGCAGTGGCCAAGTGGGGACTCTGTGTACAGGCTCTGACACCACATTATTTTTTCCACATTGCCCTAGCAGACATTTTCCATGAGGGCTCTGCCCCTGCAGTAATCTTCTGCCTGGACATCCAAGCATTGCCATACATCCTCTGAAATCTAGGCAGAGGATGTCCCCCTTTAGTCACAGTTGTCCCCCTTTAGTCACAGTTGGGACACAGGGTGGCAAGTCTGGAGGCTGCACAGAGCAGCAGGGTGGGGGGCTGGACCTGGCCCGTGAAATCATTTTTCCCTCTTAGGCCTCTGGGCTTGTGATGGGAGGGGCTTCCCTGAAGGTCCCTGACATACCCTGAAGACACTTCCCCCATTGTCTTTGTGAATAACATTCAGCTCCTCATTACTTAGGTAAATTTCTGCAGCAGGCTTGATTTTCTCCCTAGAATTTTGTTTTTTAGAAATATTTCCCTCTAGATACCCTAAATAACCTCTCAGGTTCATTGCCCCACCTATCTCTGGGGCAGGGGCAAAATGCCACCAGTCCCTTTGCATAACAAGAGGGACCTTTACTCCAGATTCCAACAGGTTCCCTATCTCCATCTGAGACCACCTCAACCTGGACTCCTTTGCACAGGTCATTATCAGTATTTTGGCCAAAGCCACACAACAGTTCTCTAAGAAGTTCCAAACTTTCCCAAATCTTCCTATCTTCTTCCGTGCCCTCCAAAACGCTCAAATCTCTGCCTGTTACCCAGTTCCAAAGTTGCTTTCACATTTTTGGGTATTTTTATAGTAGCACCTTATTCTCTGTGGTACCAGTTTACTGTATTAGTTCATTCTAATGCTGCTATAAAGAAATACCCAAGACTGGGTAATTTACAAAGAAAGGAGGTTTAATTGAATCACAGGTTTAATTGAATCACAGTTCTGCACAGCTGTACAGGATACTTACAATCATGGCAGAAGGCACCTCGTCACAGGGTAACAGGTGAGAGAATTAGTGTCCAGCAAAGGTGGAAGCCCATTATAAAACTATCAGATCTTATGAAGATGAGTTTTGGGTGGGGACACAGTCAAACTATATCAGATTGTTTGCCCAATTTTAAAGTATGTTTCATGTGGTGATGAGAAGAATGTATATTCTGTTGTTTTGGGGTGGAGAGTTCTGTAGATGTATATTAGGTTCATTTGTTTAAATGTTGAGTTCAGGTTCTCAATTTCTTTGTTATTTTCCTGCCTTAATCATCTGCCTAATAATGTCAGTGGGGTGTTTAAGTCTCCAAATATTATTGTGTTTGAAGTGAAGTCTCTCCAAAGATCTCTAAGGACTTGCTTTATGAATCTTGGTGCTCCTATGTTGGATACATATATATTTATGATAGCTAAGTATTTTTGTTGAATTGAACCCTTTACCATTATGTAAGGTCCTTCCTTTTTTTTTTATCTTGTTGGTTTAAAGTCTGTTTTGTCTGAAATTAGGATGCCAACTCCTGCTTTTGCCTGTTTTCCATTTGTTTGGTGGTTTTTCTCCATGCCTTTATTTTGAGCCTATTTGTGTCATTGAACGTGAGATGGTTCTCTTGAAGACTGCATACCACTGGATCTTGCTCCTTCATCCAGCTTGCCATTCTGTGCTTTTTTTTGGGGTCCTTTAGCCCATTTACATTCAAAGTTTGTATTGATGTATGTAGGTTTGATTCTGTCAACATGCTGCTAGCTGGTTATTATGCAGACTTGTTTGTGTGGTTGCTTTATAGAGTCACTCCTCCATGTACTTAAGTGTGCTTTGTAGTGGCTGGTAACGACATTTCTTTTCTATAGCTATCACTCCTTTTAGGACCTCTCCTAAGGCAGGTCTGGTGCTAACAAATTTCCTCCACATTTGCTTGTCTGAAAAGGATTTTATTTCTCCCTTACTTATGAAGCTTTGTTTGGCTGAATATAAAATTATTGATTTAAATTTTTTTAAAGAATGTTGAATATAAGTCTCCAAACTCTTCTTGCTTATAGAGTTTCTTATGAAAAGTCTGCTGTTAGCCTTTTGTAGGTGACCTGCCTCTTCTTTATAGCTGCCTTTAACATTTTTATTTAATATTGACAATGGATGATCTGATAACTATATGTCTTGGGGATGGTCTTCTTGTGTAATATCTCACAGGGATTTTCTGTATTTCCTAAATTTGAATGCTGGCCTCTCTAGCCAGGTTGGGGAATTCTTAATGAATTATCCTGAAATATGTTTTTCGAGTTACTTCCTTTCACCACATTTCTTTCAGGGAGACCAATTAGTTGTAGATTTGGTCTCTATACATAAGTCCATATTTCTCAGATGTTTTGTTCATGTGTTTTCTTTGTTTAACTGATATGTTTTAGGGAATATGTCTCAGGGCTCTAGAGTCCTTCCTCAGTTTGGTATATTCTGATGTTAATAATTGTGATTACATTATAAAATTACCTTAGTGTGTTTTTCAGCTCTATCAAACGTGATTCCTTTCAAAATGACTATCATTTAATCTATCAGCTCCTGTATGGTTTTACGGCAATTCTTAGATTCCTTGGACCTGGTGTTGACTTTCTCATGAATCTTGATGATCTTCAATCCTATTCCTATTCTGAATTCTATTTCTGTCCTTTCAGCCTTGTTAAGAATTCTTGCTGGGGATCCAGTGCAGTCATTTGGAGGAAAAAGGCCACTCTGGCATTTTGAGTAGCCAGAGTTCCTGTGCTGGTTCTTTCTCAACTCTGTGGGCTGGTGTTCAATAGAGTATAGTCAGTAGACTTCTTTCTCTATGATTTCAGAAGACTCAGGCTTTGTGCAGGGGCTTTATTTATAGCTGAACTCCTCTCTCTGGTTTTACAGTGGGGTACATGGACAGGAAGAATCAATATCGTGAAAATGGCCATACTGCCCAAGGTAATTTATAGATTCAATGCCATCCCCATCAAGCTACCAATGACTTTCATCACAGAATTGGAAAAAACTACTTTAAAGTTCATATGGAACCAAAAAAGAGCATGCATTGCCAAGACGATCCTAAGCAAAAAGAACAAAGCTGGAGGCATCACACTACCTGACTTCAAACTATACTACAAGGCTACAGTAACCAAAACAGCATGCTACTGGTACCAAAACAGAGATATAGACCAATGGAACAGAACAGAGCCCTCAGAAATAATACCACACATCTACAACCATCTCATCTTTGACAAACCTGACAAAAACTAGAAATGGGGAAAGGATTCTCTATTTAATAAATGGTGATGGGAAAACTGGCTAGCCATATGTAGAAAGCTGAAACTGGATCCCTTCCTTACACCTTGTACAAAAATCAATTCAAGATGGATTAAAGACTTACATGTTAGACCTAAAACCATAAAAACCCTAGAAGAAAACCTAGGCAATACCATTCAGGACATAGGCATGGGCAAGGACTTCATGTCTAAAACACCTAAAGTAGTGGCAACAAAAGCCAAAACTGACAAATGGCATCTAATTAAACTCAAGAGCTTCTGCACAGCAAAAGAAACTACCATCAGAGTTAACAGGCAACCTACAGAATGGGAGAAAATGTTTGCAATCTACTCATCTGACAAAGGGCTAATATCCAGAATCTACAATGAACTCAAATTTACAAGAAAAAAACAAAGAACCCCATCAAAAAGTGGGCAAAGGATATGAACAGACACTTCTCAAAAGAAGACATTTATGCAGCCAAAACACACATGAAAAGAAGCTCATCATCACTGGCCATCAGAGAAATGCAAATCAAAACCACAATGAGATACCATCTCACATCTATTAGAATGGCGATCATTAAAAAGTCAGGAAACAACAGGTGCTGGAGAGGATGTGGAGAAATAGGAACACTTTTACACTGTTGGTGGGACTGCAAACTAGTTCAACCATTGTGGAAGACAGTGTGGCGATTCCTCAAGGATCTAGAACTAGAAATACCATTTGACCCAGCCATCCCATTACTGAGTATATACCCAAAGGATTATAAATCATGCTGCTATAAAGACACATGCACACATGTGTTTATTGCAGCACTATTCACAATAGCAAATACTTGGAACCAACCCAAATGTCCAACAATGATAGACTGGATTAAGAAAATGTGGCACATATACACCATGGAATACTATGCAGCCATAAAAAAGGATGAGTTCATGTCCTTTTTAGGGACATGGATGAAGCTGGAAACCATCATTCTCAGCAAACTATTGCAAGGACAAAAAACCAAACACCACATGTTCTCACTCATAGGTGGGAATTGAACAATGAGAACACTTGGACACAGGAAGAGGAACATCACACACCGGGGCCTGTCATGGGGTTGGGAGAAGGGGGAGGGATAGCATTAGGAGATACACCTAATGTAAATGATGAGTTAATGGGTGCAGCACACCGACATGGCACATGTATACATATGTAACAAACCTGCATGTTGTGAACATGTACCCTAGAACTTAAAGTATAATTAAAAAAAAAAAAAAGAAAAGTATTTTGGGTGTTGGAATTTTGTTCTGTAATTCAGTAGGTGGCACTTAAGCAAAATGACCAATAGTTAAGCTCTTGCTGAGTCATTTTCCTCCTCTGTATTTCCTCACAATTGCCCCTGTGCTCTGCCTCAGTGCTTGCTGCAGATCTTGGCTTGGCACTCTTGGGCTGCACATCGAATCTCTCAGGTGAGTGCTGGCTTTATGTTACCTCCCCAGCTTGGAGGCATTGAAGGAAGGGACCTCAGCTGTGGTTGGGGTAAAGGACCTTTCACTGATTTATTGGGGCTCCACCCCAGAGAGATGTAAAGCCACTATCAATCAGTGAGATAAGCCTGTGATGGGGCACCTGTGCTATGGGCCCAAATCATTGTGGGGCCTGCCTAATAATGAGCAGGGTTGTGGGTGAGTCACAGGGGAGACATACTGGCCTCTTATCCTTAGAAAAATGGCAGCTTGATGGAGGTGTGGTTAAAGAACTCAAGGTCTTTGTTCCTTCTCCTGTCCAAGAGCATAAGGGATGTACCACTGCAGTGGCAGTGGGATAGAGGCTTTCAGCTGCCTCTGGGTGCTCCACCTCAGAGAAATGTGGAGCCACTGCTACTGGGAATGTTCAGCCAGGGGTTAAGGCAGCTGTACTACTAGACTGAGCTAAGGGCTCCACTTGTTGAATAGCAGACCATCATGGGCTCTCAGGGAGGCTAGACTGAGCTCCTGTCTGTATGGTGATAGTCATGTGCTAGGAGTATGGCTGAAGCCCTCAGGCACTTTGTTTCTTCCTGACAGAGGGCAGCTGGGGTAGAACCACTGCTGTAGCAGTGGCAGAGGGGCTGTCAGTTGTTTCTTGGAGCCTCTTCCTAGGAAAACTCCAAGGCACTACCAGAGAGTAGTCTCAGCCATTGGTGGTGTTGCTAATCTGCAGTCCTGAGCCAGGGGCCCTCCCTGGTGAAGAGTGGGGAGTGGGGAATCACAGGGAAGAGGGCCAGGATTCCTCTCCATATGGCAGCTGTAGTGTGCTGGAGGTGCCAGTATAGCACTAAGTCCTAAGTTCCTTCCCCAGCACAAGGGTGGTTAGGGAAGTACCACTGCAGCTGCAATGGCAGGGAGGTGGGTTATCGCTGGAATTTTCTACTCACAGAACTTCAGATTCACCTCCAATTGAAGTGTTCATGTGGGAGTAGGGTAGTTATGTTGGAGTCCCAGGTTGGAAGCGGGAGGGCCTGCCCAGTAAGAAGTGGGATTGGGGGCCCATGTGGAAAAAGGCCTGGCTGCTTTTTCCATAGGGTGGCTGCTCAGAGCTGCCACCGGCTTGGAGCCCCAGCAGATGGTAGCTGAAGTCTTGAGTTGGGAAGTCCTTCCCAGGGAGGAGAAGCCAGATGGGGGACCTGCATATAAACTGGCTGCTTTTCCATGGGGCGGCTGTATTGTACTGGGGAACCACACCCATTCCTAGTCACTTTGCACCCTCCGGAGCCTGAAGGCAACAGTGATGAGCGCTGTGAGACAGCCAAAAAAGGAAGCTTGCTTCTCCCTGTGGGAGCTCTGTCCCAGGGAAGTGCAGAGGTGCTACCAGCCAGAGAGCCCCAGCAGTGGGGGGCTCAAGTCCTGGTTCAGGAAGTCCCACCTAGAGAGGAAAAGTGGGATCAGGGGCCCTGCTGCTCAGCCTTCTGGATTTGGTCCCTTTCCTGGGGGCATGTGAGGGAGCCTGACCTCCCCCATTGACAGAGCTGCAGCCAGTAATACTGGGATGCCCGAGGAGCCAAAGTTCCTGAGACCCCATGTGTTCCTCAGTGGTGGCTCTGCCCAAAATCCCCGCAGCTCTGTGTGACAATGTGAAGGCCCAGGTGGGATGGTCTCATGAAGGAATCTCCTGAGCCCAGGGTTGAAAGGTCTGCAGAAAAAGTATGGTTCCCCTGGGACTCTCACTCATTCACTCACCATTTCTCCACAATGGGAAAGCCTTGCCTGGCTCTGTGCCACTCCCTGGTGGGTGGTCCTCCTGTCTCACTCCTCTCCATTCTCTGTGGCTCAAGCTCTTTCCATGATAAATCTCAATTTGTCCACCTGGATGTTTCTGTTGAAGTTCTGGTATTTACTCACTACTTTTTCTTCTATCCATGAGAGTGGTGTGCAGTAGTTGCTTCTAGTCCTAGATGGCTCTTATTATTTTGAGGTACGCTTCTTTGATGCCTATTTTGTTGAGGGTTTTTGTCATAAAGGTTTTTGTCATGTTGAATTTTATCAAAAGCTTTTTCACATCTATTGAGACGGTCATGTAGTTTTTGTTTTTTATCCTGTTTATGTGGTGAATCACAATTATTGATTTGCATATGTTGAAACTATGTTGCATTCCAGGAATAAAGCTCACTTGATCTTGGTGAATTAACTTTTTAATATGCTGCTGGATTTGATTTGCTAGTATTTTGTTCAGAACTTTTGCATCCAAGTTCATCAGGGATACTGCTCTGATGTTTTCTTTTTACATTGCGTCTCCGCCAGATTTTGGCATCAGAATGATTCTGGCTTCATAGAATGGATTAGGGGTGAGTCCCTCCTCAATTTTTTGGAGTAGTTTTAATACGATGGGTGCCAGCTCTTCTCTGTATGTCTGGTAAAATTTGACTCTGAATCCATCTGGCCCAGAGCTTTTTTGATTGGTAGGTTTTTTGTTACTGATTCAATTTCAGACCCCTTTATCAGTCTCTTCCAAGTTTCAGTTTCTTCCTGGTTCAGTTTGGAAGATTGTGTATTTTCAGGAATTTATCCATTTCTTCTAGATTATCTAGTTTGTATGCATAGAGGTGTTTCATAATAGTCTCTGAGGATTTTTGTTGTTTCTGTAAGTTGGCTGTATGGCTACGACCTCAAAAGTAATTGCAACAAAAATAAAAATTGACAGGTTGGACCTAATTAAATGAAATTGTTTATGCACAGCAAAAGAAACTATCAAGGGAGTAAACAGATGCCCTACAGATAGGAGAAAATATTCACAAATGATGTATCTGACAAAAGCCTAATATCAAGAATCTATAGGGAACTTAAATCAACATACAGAAAACAAATAACCCCATTAAAAAGTGGGCAAAGAACATGAACAGACACTTCTCAAGAGAAGATATTCAAGTGTTCAACAAACATGAACAAATGCTCATCATCACTAATCATCAGAGAAATGGAAATCAAAATACAATGAGATATTATCTCACACTAGTCAGAACAGCTATTATTAAAAAGCTTAACTACAACAGATGTTGGTGAGGCTGCTGAGAAAGCGGAACACTTATACTTTGTTAATGGGAATGTAAATTAGCCATTGTGGAGAGCAGTTTGGAGATGTCTCAGGGAATTAAGAGTTAAGCTACCATTCAATCCAGCAATTCTATTACTGGGTGTATAATCAAAGGAAAATAAGTTGACCTACAAAAAAGACACATATACATGTATGTTTATCACAGTGCTATTCACAATAGCAAAGACATGAAATTAACCCAGATGCTTGTCAAGTCTGGATTGGATAAAGAAAATGTAGTATATATACATCATGGTATACTATGTAGCCATAAAAGAATGAAATTATGTCTTTTGCAGTAATATGGATCCAGTTGTAGGCCATTATCCTAAGTGAACTAATACAGGAAGAGAAAACCACATATTTCATATTCTCACTTTATAAGTGGTAGCTAAACTTTAAGTCTGCATGGACATAAACATGAAAACAATAGACACTAGGGAATACAAGAAGAGAATGGGAGGAAGGGGCCAAAGGCTAAAAAATTACCCATTGGGTACTATACTCACTATCTGGGAAAAGGATTCAATTATACTGTAAACCTCAATATTACACAATATACCTTTGTAAGAAACCTGCATATGTAACCCCTGAACTTATAATAAAATTTGGAAAGAAAAGAGTCAAAAACAAAAATGCATTTATGTATTGTTTAATATTTAACATATGTAGTTACCTGTACTCATGCTCATTACTTTTTTGTGTGTGGATTTGACTTATTGTCTAGGGTCCTTTTGTTTCCACCTGAAGGACTCCCTTTAGTATTTTTTATAAGACAGTTCTTATTTGTATATATTTATTTACATTTGTGATAGAGTCTCACTCTGTTGCCCAGGCTGGAGTGCAGTGGTGCCATCTCGGCTCAAGCCTCAACCTCTCAAATAGTGGGGATTACAGGCTTCTGCCACCATGCCCAACTAATTTTTGTATTTTTAATAGAGATGGGGTTTTACCTTGTTGGCCAGGCTGGTCTCTAACTCCTGACCTCAAGTGGTCTGCTCACCTTGGCCTCCCAGATTGCTCAGATTACAGGCATGAGCCACCGTGCCTGGCCAAGACAGTTCTATCAGTGACAATTTGTCTCAGTTTTTATCTGAGAATGTCTTTATTTTTCCTTCGTTCTTTACTTTCTCTTTCATTTTCTCCTTCATTATTGAAGGACAATTTTGCTGGGTATAGAATCATTGATAATATTCTGCTTTCTGCACTTTGAATATATCATTATGTAGTGTTTTGGTTTCCATGGTTTCTGATGACAAGTCTTTAATTGTATTGAAGAGTCCTTCTATATGATGAGTTGATTCTCTATTTATGCTTTCAAAATTCACTATTTGTCTTCCAAAAAATTGACTATGATGTTTCCAGCTGTGGACTTTTTTGTGCTTATCCTATCTGGAGTTCATTGAGCATCTTGGATGTGTACACTAATATGTGTGTTTTATTTTTCTCTTTCTAATTTGGAGAGTTTTGAACCATTACTTTTTTTTCTTTTCTTTTGGAGACAGAGTCTCACTCTGTCACCAAGGCTGGAGTGCAGTGGCGCAATCTCAGCTCACTGCAACCTCCGCCTCCCGGATTCAAGCAATTCTCCTCCCTCAGCCTCCTGAGTAGCTGGGACTACAGGTGCACGCTGCCATGTACGGCTAATTTTTTTTTTTTTTTTGTATTTTTAGTAGAGACAGGGTTTAACCATGTTGTCCAGGCTGGTCTCGAACTCCTGAGCTCAGGCAATCCACCAGCCTCAGCCTCCCAAAGTGCTAGGATTACAGGTGTGAGCCACCATGCCCGGCCGAGCCATTACTTTTTAAGATATTATTTTGCTCCTACACTGTCTGCTCTCTTTTAGGAACTTTCATCATGCATTTGTTGATACAATTGATGGTATTCCACAGGTGTCTAAGGCTCTGTTCATTTCTCTTCCCTCTTTTTTCTTTATGTTTCTTAGACTGTATATTCTCAACTGTTCTGTCTTTGAGTTTTCCAATTCTTTCTTCTGCCAGTTAAATCTTCTGTTCAAACTCTAGTAATTTTTTCATTTTAGTTATTTTGCTTTTTAACTCCATAATTTCTCTTTAGTTCTTTTTTATGATTACAGTAGCTGATTTAAAGTCTTTATCTAGTAAATTCCACATGTGGGCCACCTCAGAAGCAGTTTCTTTTGATCTCTTTTTTACTTGTGTATTGGCCATAATTTCCCATTTCTTCTAATTTATTTGGCATAATTTTTTGTTAATTACTGAACATTTTAAATAACATAATGTGGCAACTCTGATGATCAGATTCCCTCTCTCTCCCAGGGCTTGTTGTTTCTGTTAGCTGTTGTTTTTGTTTCTTCTGCAGCTCCTGCACCTGTTTTAGTGATTTTTAGACTAATTTATAAAGTCCATATTTTTTGTTTGTACTGCCATTGAAGTCTCTGCGCAGTTAAGTTAGTGATCAGCTAATGATGGACAATTATTTCCTTAAATCCTTTGAACTATTAAGTCTCTCAGCCTTTGCAAATGGCTCTGTGTGTGTGTCAGGGCATGCCTTCAATATCCCAGCAGGCAGTTTACATCTCTGCCTTAAATTTCACTTTATCTTTGCATAGAGCCTCAAGGTTAGCCATAGGTAGGAGGTTAGGGCCTTCTCAGGTCTTTCCTGGACACAAACAGAGAAGTAGGCATATATGTGGTCTTTTAGAGTCCTAGAAATATGTTGGAGCTTTTCAAAGCCTACTATGAATATCTCATTCCCCAGATTTTTAAAAAAAATTTCGGTTAGTGTTTTGTTAGGTCCAACTGGTATTGATATCTTAGCATATGTGGTGTTAAGAAATGGTCACTGATTACTTTTGGTAAATGCTCTATAAAAAGGGCTCTTCCCAAAGAGTCAGCTCTGAGTCAGTACAAATAAAGATAAGCCCTGAGAGTATAGCTTTGTAGGGAAGTGCCTTTTATATCAAAAAGTAATGACAATCTGGGGATTACACTTTTGAGGAGCTCCAAACCTGTTCTTCTTCAGTGTGTGTTAGGCTGTTAATTTTCACAGATATGATATTGGGAGACTATTATAAAGTTTAACCCTGAACTTGGGAGGAGGATGGGAATAAGGCAGAGTAAATAATATCTCAAACCTTGCTGTTCAGACATATATTTAGCTATATTTCCACAATAATACTCCTTTGATTATTGCAAGTATTGGGTTATTTTCTGGCATTCTGAAAAAGTTGATTTTGACAAATTTTTGCATGGCTACTTGCTGCTTTATGAAGGAGTGGATTTTTGGAAGTCTTTATTATTATAAAATTGTTTCTTATTGTGATCTTTTAAACCAAAAAAAAAATTCTATTTTGGTTATATAATTTTCTCACTATCCATTTTTCAGTTCTGTTGTTTTCTATATTTGTGGTTTAAAGGTATTTGTTCTTTTAAACTGTTGAATTTATAAACATAATATTTTTTTGAGATGGAGTCTCTCTCTGTTGCCCAGGCTGGAGTACAGTGGCATGATCTCGGCTCACTGCAACCTCTGCCTCCCAGGTTCAAGCAATTCTCCTGCCTCAGTTTCCCAAGTAGCTGGGACTACAGGTGCACATCACCACACCTGGCTGATTTTTGTATTTTTAGCAGAGATGGGGTTTCACCATGTTGGCCAGGCTGGTCTTGAACTCCTGACCTTGTGATCCGCCCGCCTCGGCCTCCCAAAGGCTGAGATTACAGGTGTGAGCCTCTGCTCCCAGCCCATAATGCTAAATCTATGTTCTTCAGGGGCTTGACTCACCTTCCACCCATTGAGGCCTTTGTCCATCATTGCTGACACAGGGCGGCATTATGTGCAATTGGGACACAGTGTTTGTCCCAGTTCACAGATCTGTGGAGCATGGTGGCCAAAGGCCATCATTCTTTTTGCCTCATCCAACTTGCTGCTAAATTAGCCAGAACAGCATCAGATCCAGTGGGGTGAGAGGTGTCTTCTGTTTGTTCACAGTAAAGGAACACCCTTGCATAGGGTCCTGGGCCAAGTTGGTGAATGGCTGAGGGAAGGGATCAAAGTCTCAGTATGACAGGGTTCCTTGCTTTTCCTGCTCCCCACCCGCAGATCACTGCTGGGCTTGAGGCCAGTATGGCTTCAGAGGTGTGAAGCAGGATCCACTTCTTACTGTGGTATCTACCAGAATTCAATGGTATCATTTTTATCTGTATCTATCACAGAATCTATCACACAGTTGGCACTCAATCAATGCTCATTGAGTATATTAATAAATAAATGAGAAAAAAATGAAGTGACACATAGTATGATTTGCACTGAAACCAGTCTCTGCTAGGAATGCTTCTTGATAGTAGGCTGTACAACTGTTCAATTGAGCAAGACTCAAAGACTATTGCACACAGTAATGCAACAAAATGAATGCCATATCTGGGTTTACACGTTCTTGTCACACCTTCCTTGTTTTGCATTGAAAGTTACAGATTAAAGTGCTTCGTGTTGCAAAAGCAGCAGAATTCCTCAACTAATGGGTGTGTTGTGAATGGGTTACAGGTATACTGAGATTTGTGTTATTGCAGTACTCAGAGGAGTAGGCCAGGACCTGAAGTGGCCAGAGTCCTTCGGGATAAAGTGACAAGAGTCCTAGAACCATTTACCCCTGATTTGAGAAATCCTTTTTGCTTGCCTCAGTGTGTCATATAAGCATTATAATCATCATTATAATCATTCTCTACATGTGTCATGATGTGAAGTGTTTTATAAATCCTGGACCACTGTAATTTTGACTATGTTTGTCAACATTTTAATATGTAATGTTCAATCAAGTCCTGTTCTGTGGGTCCCTAACTGCATTAGATGTTTTATACTCACTTATGAAATACATTAGAGAACTTTCCTGGGAATTTTATTTTGCTGTTTCATCTGTATTTTTCATTCAAGAAAATATGTGAAACTGTTTATAATCTTAGCGCAGGTTTCAACACTGAATAGTTACTCTCCCATTAGGAAACATTTTGCCATGGCTGAAATGCCTTTTCTTTAAAACAGGCTGGGAACCTGTAATTAAAATACAAGGTTACTCTCTTTTTAGAGTAAAACCATAACCACTAGCATTTACTGCTGCTATAATTCAGAGAAGGAGAAATACTCATTTCTTTCTTGTGGTTAAGATGTTTGAGTCTAGAGTGAAATCTGTCACCTGTGATAACTAGTTAATCGATTTATTTATTTAAAAATATTCCTTAAGTGTCTCCTCTATGCAATGATATGTTTAGAGGGAGAATAAATGCATAAGGCATGGCTCCTGTTCTCAAGTTTATAGTCTATATGAAGAGGCAAGACTTAAACACATTAGAAAAGACAGTTTAAAATACAGTTATGTGCTGCATAATGACGTTTCAGTCAGTGACAGACTGAATATATGATGGTGGTCCCATAAGATTATAATGGAGCTAAAAAGTTCCTATTGCCTATTGATGTCATTACCTTTTCTATGTTTAGATATGGTTATATATACATATGCCATTGTATTACACAATTATCTATACTATTGAGTGCATTCACATGCTGTACAGGTTTACAGCCTAGGAGCAACAGGCTATACCATATAGCCTAGATGTGTAGGAGGCTATACCATCCAGGTTTGTGTAAGTATATTCTATGATGGTCTCACAATGATGAAATAACCTAACAATTCATTTCTCAGGATGTATCCTCATTGTTAAATGACCCATGCCTGTAATGTTAAAACACTGTGAATTATTTTCTATGGTGACATAAATATAACACCAATGGACTCTCACGGTGATTATAAGTGATAGGAGTTTATAGGAGCACCAGTATGTTATGTAACTTCCTGGAGTTGATGGGAGCTAAACTGGTCTTTGACGAAGGGGGGAAGAAAAATAGTAATAGCAAAAACTTGCCTAGCAGCTACTCTGTGCCAGACACATTCTTCAGCATTTTATATATTAACTCATTTAATAATCTCAATTGCCCTATGAAGCAGCACACTTACTAACTTGCCCAAGATAATACAAGAAGTAAGTGGCAGATTGAAGCATGGGCAGTATGTATTTTAAACGCCATACTATACTACCCCTTGGTAGATACTCTACAATTGGAGAAGCACATGAACAAAGACACAGTAGAATGTACTAAGAACAATGGATAGACTAAAGAGGGGCTGAGTTTGATCAGAAAGGTGATATGCTCCAGGTGACTCTGCTCCTGCTTCTGTTGAGGTAAAGATTCTCACCTTTCCACCCACAATTAATCTCTATGCCCTGGGGTTGCCAATGTTCAGCAAGTCCCCAGGACTAAAGCTTATCAACACGGTTTTTTTCAATTATCCATTGTCTCTAACTCTGTAATTTTTTAGGTTAAAATGCAGTCTATTTAGATGTGTAGTGTTTGCCTTTCTCCATTGTGTGCCAGTGCTCAATTTAATGTTACATTGGCTTTTCAATTTAGTTGCTTAAACTATGGCTGCTGACAAATCCCTTAGTTTGGACCATGGCTGTCAAAGTCCTAATATAGTGATAGGTGGGCTAAGATTGAATCTTTGAGGGGCTTGCCTACTGGAAAAAGCCTCGGAGGTTTAATCTGGCTCCCAATTGGGATCCACTAGAAGTGTCTGCAGAAGAGAACACTGCAACAATAATGGTATTTCATGTGGCAATTGTGTTCAAGATGGATTAAATAATAACATTCAATTTTCAGAAATGAGCAACTACAGATTTCACTTTGCTATGCTTGTTGCTGCTTTTAGGCAATGAAACTGTCTATTCAAAAAAAATTCCAAGGTTGTTTTTATTTTTTCTTTTAAACTTAGCTATATACATGTTTTATGGTCCTAACATTAAATTGAGCACTTTTTTTTTTTTTTTTTTTTTGAAACAGAGTCTTGCTCTGTCACCCAGGCTGGAGTGCAGTGGCGCGATCTTGGCTCACTGCAACCTCTGCCTCCCAGGTTCAATCAATTCTCCTGCCAAACTGAGGACATTTTCTAGGCTATCTGCCACAAAGATAATTCTGTCTGTCTCTGACATTTTTAGGAGGTCTCAATCCATTGTATAGAATACACAAGATTTCAACTTTCGATGAAATATTTTAAATTTCAAGCTGTCATCAAAATTTGAGAGAGAAAAATGTTAGCAATTCCGCAGAGGAACTCTACATTTCATTAAGTTGACTTTAAGATGTTTGAATGACTTCCCATTATAAACTTCCTTTCAAGACAAGATGCTGTTCAAACTCTCCTGATATATTCGTTAATTGAATAAGTCTTTGGCAGTTTGTGTTTTTACCTTTCATTTTTTCTTTATTTTACTTTGCAAATCTAAGAAAACTAATTCTCATAACAATTATATTTTCCTTTAGGATGCTTGCTTCATATCTTCTCCAGTTAAAGTTAAGTGGAGAAATGTGTCTGGTCTTCTATAATTTCCTCAATGTCAAAACTAACAGCTGTAAGCACTTAACAACTAATCAGCTCAATTCAGCTCACCTGTGTGAATGATCCTTAACCATTACATATGCTTTGAGTCAAAGGTTTTTTTTCTCTTTTTTTTGTAAAAGATTTAAAGTTAAAGGGAAAGGAACTAATGAACTTGCAAGATTACTTTAAGCTATTTTGAGTCTGATCCAAAGTACAAGATGTTTTAAAAGATACATTTACCTTTACATATATTTTTAACACCAAATGGCCACCATATAATTGGCAATAAAAGTCACAAACAACAAATATGTCACTGATGACCAGAACGTTAGATATGGATCCCAAAGGATAAATTGATAAGATATTAGCTAACAGATATGAAAACTCTGGGTGTAAGCCTTTTAAAAATTACAACACTTTATTAAAATTATTCAATATGGCAGCAATTATCATATAGCTAAAGTAAATACAAAGTTTTTTAGAAGAAGAGCAAGTCTTTAATATTCACAATGATGCTAATATTGTGTAAGGCCTGGATATAAAAATTGAGGAGATTACAGAACAAAACAGTTTCTTTATCATTACTATTTTTAAAAGAAGCATGACTTTTCAAGGCATCAGGCAGCTAGGGAGGTGAGGTGGAAAAAGTATGATTTGCTTCTATTATTACTTGGATCCTTTAATATTAATCCACACCACTTCTGTGTAGAAGCTTACATCTAATAAAAATATCCTCACTCAGCCAATAAAAGCTTGATTTTCCAAGAGCAATGAGGAGCTATCAACTATGAAATACATATTACATATAGTCATCTAGTTGTAATAAGAATGTACTCATTTTTTTAAAAAACTTTTAAGTTCAGGGGGTACATTTGCAGGTTTGTTACATAGGTAAATGTGTGTCATGGGGGATTCGTTGAACAGATTATTTTGTCACTCAGGTGATAAAAGTACTAGTATCCATTAGTTATTTTTCCTGATCCTCTCTGTCCTCCCACCCTCTACCTTCAATAGGCCCCAGCGTGTGTTGTTCCCCTCTACGTGTCCGTGTGTTACTTTCAAAACACCTTTACAATAGAAGGGCTTCAGCCTTTTCCCATACATTCATTGATTCTCCTTTATAATAGCCATACTTAAGTGAGCCCAATTGTTTGCTCACTAACATCAAAGAAGAAAGCCTAGGGTGCTTTACCCAGAGTTAGTAAGAGTCAGGAGTAGACTGCCTGGCTTGATCTAAGGTTCAGGTGCTCCCAATTAAATTTAAGGACCAGAACTGATGCAAGGTTAATGACATCTCTGCCTTGGTCAAAAAGAGCTCTATTCTTTCACCTCTTCTGAATTTTCAGATTGAATTTTGATAGGCATAAATGTTGGGTACTTTTTAGAACCAAAGAAAAAATATCTTCAGTAAGACAGTTGATTGAATTTCAAAGAACTACAGGATATCAGAGTTATAATGGCTCTTTATATGTTATTTAGCAAAGTCCATCCATCATTGTACAGATGGGAAACTGAGGTAAACTGTGGTGGACAGAATAACCCAAGGTTTCTTGGAATAGCTTTCTGCTGAATGCCACTGGAGATTTTCCAGGAATGCCGTCTTCCTAGGTCTATAATACAGTGCCTTTCCCAGCGAATTACCTACAAAATTATGACATTTCTCATACTACTTGGCTGCTGAATTAATTTGAGGATTCTGTAAAAGGCATTTTGTCTTCAGAAAAAAAAAAGACTCAAACAAATGCTATGTTCAGGCACACTAGCTTTTGGCATCAATTCAGCACCTGTTTAACTGTGGTGTTCATTCCAAGCATTTGATTTTCAAAAAGATAAAAAGTGAAAGACTCCTATTGCCTTAGCAACCATATTAACCAAATGAACTGCTCACTCTCTCTTGACCTTGCTCTTCAAATCATTCCAATATAGGAAAATATATAACTGCTTCATGATATTTTCCAGAAGGCAGTTTCTTAGATTTGCTATTTAAGAAAATGTTACATGGCATAATGTATTTATGGAATTTTACCGAAGTGTTTGAAATATCATTGTTACCAATGGACAAAAGTAAAGGTTTTCCATAACAAGAATAAAGTGGCTAAAGCTTTTGTATTATAGCCAGAAGAACTGGGCTCAAGCATGGCCCTGCTTTAACAAACAATGAGCAAGTCACTTAACTAAGATTTTCAGTTTCCTCAGCTGTAAAATAGGACAGTAACTATTTCAGAGGGAGTTCAGCAGGATTATATGAGATAATATACATCAATGTGCTTACTAAACTATAAAAAACTGTAGAAATGTAATGTATTAATATTACTCAGCATCTTCTAAAAATGTTTTAATTTTAATTTTTGTGGGTAGTAATACATAGTAGGTGTATATACTTACAGGGTACATGAGATGTTTTGATACAGGCATGTAATGAAAAATAATCACATCGTGGCGAGTAGGGTATTCATCCCCTCAAGCATTTATCTTTTATGTTACAAACAATCCAATTACACAATGGAGTACTATTCCGCCATAAAAAAATCCTGTCATTTGCAACAGCATGTACGGAACTGGAGATCATTATGTTAAGTGGAATAAACCAGGCACAGAAAGACAAACACCACATGTTCTCACCTATTTGTGAGATCTAAAAATCAAAACACAAAACAATTGAACTCATGTACACAGAGAGTAGAAGGATGGCTATCAGGGGCTAAGAAGGGTAGTGGGGAGGCTGGCAAGGGAAGTAGGGATGGTTAATGGGTTCAAAAAATAGCATCTTTATTCTTAAGGCAATGATTTTCAATAATTCAAAATGATAAGAAGACAAATGCATATGATTACATCAGTTGATTTAACTCTCTTTCAGCAGATAGATTGTGACCAAGTATATTGCTCAAAAAACGTCATGGGTCCACTGACTTATTAAGAATTTACATGGGCTTATTAAGCAGAAGTTTAATTGCATATGACCTATTTACGTTTTTATACATAAAACCATTTTCTTCATTTTGGGAAAGAAAGTATATGCTTTGCGACTCAGTTGGCAAAGTCGTATTTATATATTTCTTATGTTTCAATGATGCCTTCATACTCATCCTCATCTCTGTAAGAGAACACACACACACACACACACACACACATTCGTACATATATAGTCATGCACCAAATAACCAGTGTATGTATGAACCACATGTGTGACAGTGGTCCCATAGGATTATAATGGAGCAGAAAAATTCCTATTGCCTAATGACATCATAGTTGATGTAATGTCCCAGTGTTCAAACACACTGCCCATGTGTTTGCAATGATGCTAGTATAAACAAACCTACTGCACTAACAGTCATATAATAGCATAGCACATACAATTATGTATACCACATAATACTCGATAATGATAAGAAATTACAAGGTCGGCGGGGTGCGGTGGCTCATGCCTGTAAGCCTAGCACTTTGGGAGACCGAGGCAGGCAGATCATGAGGTCAAGAGATCGAGACCATCCTGGCCAACATGGTGAAACCCCGTCTCTACTAAAAATACAAAAATTAGCTGGGTGTGGTGGCGTGCTGTAGTCTCAGCTACTTGTGAGGCTGAGGCAGGAGAATCTCTTGAACCCAGGAAGCAGAGGCTGCAGTGAGTCAAGATCATGCCACTGCTTTCCAGCCTGGCGACAGAGCAAGACTCTGTCTCAAAAAATAAATAAATAAATAAATAAATAAAATTTAAAAAAAGATACTACAAGGTCATTGGTTTATGTGTTTACTACATTTTTATCATTATTTTAGAGTGTGTTCCTACTTATTAAAAACTTTAACTATAAAGCATCTTCAGCAGGTCCTTCAGGAGGTATTCCAGAAGAAGGCATTGTTATAGGAGACAATAGTTCTATGTGTGTTGTTGCCCCTGAAGACCCAATGAGAGAAGATGTAGCACTGGAAGACAGTAATATTGATGATCCTGACCCTGTGCAGGCTTAAGCTAATGTGTGTATTTGTGTCTTCGTTTTTAACAACATAGTTTAAAAAGTAAAAAAAAATAAAAATAGAAAAAAACTTATTGAGAAAGAATATAAATAAAATATATTGTGCAGCTGTACAGTGTGTTTGTGTTTTAAAAAATGTGTTATTACAAAAAGACCAAAAAGTTAAAGAAAATAAAAGTTTTATCAAGTAAAAAAGTTACAGTAAACTAAGGTTAATTTTTCATTGAAGAAAAACATGTTTTTAGTAAATTTCATACAGCCTAAGTATGCACAGTGTTTATAGAGTCTATGGTAGTGTACAGTAAAGTCATTGGCCTTCACATTCACTCACCACTCATTCTGACTCACCCAGAGCAACTTTCCAGTCCTGCAAGCGTCATTCATGGTAAGTGCTCTATACAGGTGTGTCATTATTTAAATCCTTTATACCATATTTTTACTGTACCTTTTCTATGTTTAGATACATTTAGATATAAAAATATTTACCATTGTGTTACAGTTGCCTACAGTATTAGGTACAGTCATATGCTGTACAGGTTTGTAGCCTAAGAACCATAGGCTATACCATATAGCCCAGGTGTATAGAAGGCTATACCTATACCATCTAGGTTTTTGTAAGTACACCATATGATGTTCTAAAAATGACAAAATTGTCTAACAACATGTTTCTTAGAATGTATTCCTGTGGTTAAGCAACACATGACTGTATATGTATATATATTCTTTCATAAATCACTTTGTCAGTAACCAAGAAGTATCCTGATGTATGTGTGTACCACTCCACAGAGATAATGGTACTCCCAGACTTCAGTGGCAGAATCCATCCTATCACTTAACACAATCCTGGTATACTTTCTTATGGCGGAAAATTTTTTTCTATATAAACAGCTATTGGATATACCATCTTAACAAGCTTGTTGGGACTGTCCAAGACATGTGAACAGTGAGTTGTATATATGCTCCAGGGCTTCGTATGTGGAAGGTGGAATTAAAAATGAAAAAACAGGCCGGGTGCGGTGGCTCAAGCCTGTAATCCCAGCACTTTGGGAGGCCGAGGCAGGCGGATCACAATGTCAGGAGATCGAGACCATCCTGGCTAACACGGTGAAACCCCGTCTCTACTAAAAATACAAAAACTTAGCCGGGCATGGTGGTGGGGGCCTGTAGTCCCAGCTACTCGGGAGGCTGAGGCAGGAGAATGGCGTGAACCCGGGAGGCGGAGCTTGCAGTGAGCTGAGATCCCACCACTGCACTCCAGCCTGGGCAACAAAGCAAGACTCCGTCTCAAAAAAAAAAAAAGAAAATGAAAAAACAGCCTGGGAGGGTTCTGAACAAACTGTTTTTGAGAATTCAAAATGCATGAGATGTCTGAGGCTAGTTAGGTCAAGCTCTCACCCAGCTTACTGGGATGTCATACCTAACCTTGGTCTTAGTATATTCAGGTATATTCAGGGCTAACTTTCTCCCTTACTCATTCAAATTGTGCTTGGCTAATGCCTCATACTTCTAGGTAGTTTCTTATTTATAGCTCTTGTTAAGATCTGGTTCACCATAGGGTTTTTTTTTTTTTTTTTAATTTTAACCACTGCACTAAAGCAAAGGAGTAGGAATTTCAAGCACTGTGGCAGGCCAATCAGTTCTGGGGATTAAATAAGGGGTAAGGTAGTGGTCATATCTTTGAGCAGACACAATTGCAGATTGGCATTCTTATAGTATGTCCTACTATATCTTATGTGGTCAACCATTTTGCCTACATAGGAAATTAAGCAGGTACTTCACCACTGACCACACTGCTTAGCCAAGAGTGGTGAATTAAACTCCATGTGGGTCTTAGACATGTTTGACAGGCAGAATGTACTTCTTTCATTTCTTGTTTCATTTTTTGATTTGTCACTGTACCAGGTACAGGCTGCTCAGAGGGCACTGTTTGTTGTTTGTCTCAAGATCTGTGGGGGAAACTGCTTTCTTGGAACTTCTTCAAGGGCCTAAGACCTTACAATCTTTCCCATGACATCTGTCATCAGGACTTCTTGCAGAACTAGAAAGGTGATAAGCCTTGACTTCAGTGCCCCATTTCATTTATCTATTCATTTACTTAGAGTACGTACTCTGTGGCAAGCACTGATCTAGGGGTTGGGATACATAGATGAAAAAACAGAAAATCTTTCTTATCAATATATTCCTGCTTGCCCCCAACAAATCAAACTCATTCTTTGACACATGATGACTAAACTGTCAGCTCTTAGAAAGCTGTATATGTATCTTATTTTTATTTTAATACCCTAAATACCTAGAATGCCTGGTGCCAAGTAAGTGCTCAGTAAATGTTTAGCAAATGAAGAAAGGAATTGAAAAAAGTATTTGAAACTCACAAATGGAGATGGCAGTAACTGATAAGGATCATGTAATATACATTTCAAAGATATTTGCAAATTTAGGGATAGGGCACGAAGATTCACAAATTTGTAGAGGAATGTATTGGTGGCAGTAGAGAATAGTGCTTAAAAATACAGACTTTAAGTCTGTCCTGGTTTCAGGTCAGACCTGATTTCAAATTACCAGTTCCCTTCCATTACCTAACTGTGTGACCCTGAGCAAGTTACCTAAACTCCCTGTGTCTTACTTTTCTCATATGTAAAATGGGCCTAGTAGAACAAATCTCATAGAATTGTTGGGAGGAATATATGTGATGAGATATATAAAGAACTTAGAACAATGCCTGGCTCACAGAAAACATTTAGTATTTATTAACATTAAATATATTTTTTAAAGTGATACCTCAAGTAGCTGGTCTGTGCTCCTTTGGAGAAGGAAACTGCTGGACTCTCAGAATGGTCCTGGACTTCATCTATCCAGAAGAAGCTTGCCCACTCTAACCTGATAACTATTTTCTCTGAAAGGTTCTTTGAAGCCACCAGCTTTTTTTTTTCTCCTTCCTTCTTTCCTTCCTTCCTTCCTTCCTTCCTTTCTTTTTCCTCTCTCTCTCTCTTTCTTTCTCTTTTCTCTTTTTGGGGCAATGGTTAGAGGGTTACAGACCTTCTAGAAATCTGATTCTCACAGCTATATAGAATAAATCCTAGAACAATGCTGCTCCAAGGTATGTTTTCTTACTGATTGGCTTTGACAGGCAGAAAAAACGTATTCATTTCTAATCACAAGAAAAAGTTTAGATGCTCCACTTACAGGATTAAAACAAAAGTTTATCCCAACATACAAAAAGAGAACAAGTGATGCTTTAGTAATAAAGTAAAGTGCTATCTACACAGAAAACACTAAGTAGGCAAAATCCAATTGTGCAGGGACTTGAGAGTTGGGGAATAAAGGGATTAAAGTCCAGATTCTGGGTAGCCCCTTGGCAAAATTCTAAAAGATCCTCTGTGTTTTCAGGCTTTTTGAGCTGGGACCTCTTTCACATTTCTGAACCGATTTTTTGTCATGTATTTGCACTCACGGCTCAGAAGTGGATTTAGCAGAAGAGAAGGAAGGCAGAGAAATGCCCCAACATGAGCATCTGCTATATGACAGGTATTGTGCTTAGCTCTTCATATATATTAGATATGCATTCCTCAGGCAACCCTGAACAGACTATAGTATTAGCATTCTGCTGATAAAGAAAAGTAATCTTAGAATCATTAAATGACTTGGCATCCTATCTTTTCTGTGGCTCAATGGGAATAGAACCTAGGTCTGTCTGTAGAGAGAAGCTGAGTTCTGCATATAACACAATGCAATTCTTGAACTAAAAGGATGAAGTTATATAAGGTGGGATGGGGATATGAATAAAGCTTTGAGCTGTGAAAGGAAAATAAATCTCGGGACCTCAAAATCACTAAGCCAAAGGGAAAAGTCAAATTGAGAACTGCGTTAGGCAACCTGCCTTCCATTCAATCCCTAAATAAGATAACTACAAAAATAAAAAAAGTTACATACCTTCCTCACAGTTTGCCCACAAGGAAATTCCTTGTGCACAAAAGACAGACAGAACTCAAAGTCATCCCTCTGCTCATGTAAGACAAATGCCTATCTGCTTGCTTCATCTGCCCTATTGTTTCACTAAGCCAGACTAAGGCACAAATGACTATTCCTCTACACTCCTTGCACATGTAAAGTGTGTATTCAGTGAAAAGCTAATCAGAGACTAAAAAGAATGCAACTGTTTGCCTCTTATATCTAACTATGACCTGGAGGCCCCCTCCCTCGCCTCCAGTTGTACTGCCTTTCTGGATGGAACAAATGTACACCTTATACATATTGATTGATGTCTCATGTCTCCCTAATTATGAGGCCAGCATCATCCTGATACCAAACCCTGGCAGAGACCCAACAAAAAAGAGAATTTTACACCAATATCCCTGATGAACATTGATGTGAAAATCCTCAATAAAATACTGGCAAACCGAATCCAGCAGCACATCAAAAAGCTTATTCACCAAGATCAAGTTGGCTTCATCCCTGGGATGCAAGGCTGGTTCAACATATGCAAATCAATAAACATAATCCATCACATAAACAGAACCAAAGACAAAAACCACATGATTATCATCATAGATGCAGAAAAGGCCTTTGACAAAATTCAACAACCCTTCATGCTAAAAACTCTCAATGAATTAGGTATTGATGGAAGGTATCTCAAAATAATAAGAGCTGTTTATGACAAACCTATATCCAGTACCATACTGAATGGGCAAAAACTGGAAGCATTCCCTTTGAAAACTGGGACAAGACAGGGATGCCCTCTCTCACCACTCCTATTCAACATAGCGTTGGAAGTTCTGGCCAGGGTAATCAGGCAGGAGAAAGAAATAAAGGGTATTCAATTAGGAAAAGAGGAAGTCAGATTGTCCCTGTTTGCAGATGACATGATTGTATATTTAGAAAACCCCATCGTCTCAGCCCAAAATCTCCTTAAGATGATAAGCAACTTCAGCAAAGTCTCAGGATACAAAATCAGTGTGCAAAAATCACAAGGATTCTTATACACCAATAACAGACAAACAGAGAGCCAAATCATGAGTGAATTCCCATTCACAATTGCTTCAAAGAGAATAAAATACCTAGGAATCCAACTTAGAAGGGATGTGAAGGACCTCCTCAAGGAGAATTACAAACCACTGTTCAACAAATAAAAGAGGACACAAACAAATGGAAGAACATTCCATGCTCATGGATAGGAAGAATCAATATTGTGAAAATGGCCATACTGCCCAAGGTAATTTATAGATTCAAGAGTATCCCCATCAAGCTAACAATGACTTTCATCACAGAATTGGAAAAAACTACTTTAAACTTCATATGGAACCAAAAAGGGCCCGCATTACCAAGACAATCCTAAGCAAAAAGAACAAAGCTGGAGGCATCACACTACCTGACTTCAAACTATACTACAAGGCTACAGTAACCAAAACAGTATGGTACTGGTATCAAAACAGAGATATAGACCAATGGAAAAGAACAGAGCCCTCAGAAATAACACCACACATCTACAACTATCTGAACTTAGACAACCCTGACAAAAAAAGCAATGGGGAAAGGATTGCCTATTGAATAAGTGGTGCTGGGAAAACTGGCTAGCCATATGTAGAAAGCTGAAACTGGATCTCTTCCTTACACCTTATACAAAAATTAGTTCAAGATGGATTAAAGACTTAAATGTTAGACCTAAAATCATAAAAACCCTAGAAGAAAACCTAGACAATACCATTCAGGACATAGGCATGGGCAAGGACTTCATGACTAAAACACCAAAAGCAATGGCAACAAAAGCCAAAACTGACAAATGGGATCTAATTAAACTAAAGAGCTTCTGCACAGCAAAAGAAACTACCATCAGAGTGAACTGGCAACCTACAGAATGGGAGAAAATTTTTGCAATCTACCCATCTGACAAAGGGCTAGTATCCAGAATCTACAAAGAACTCAAACAAATTTACAAGAAAAAATCAAACAACCCCATCAAAACGTGGGCAAAGGATATGAACAGACACTTCTCAAAAGAAGACATTTATGCAGCCAACAGACATATGAAAAAATGTTCATCATCACTGGCCATCAGAGAAATGCAAATCAAAACCACAATGAGATATCATCTCACACCAGTTAGAATGGCAATCATTAAAAAGTCAGGAAACAACAGATGCTGGAGAGGATGTGGAGAAATAGGAACACTTTTACACCATTGGTAGGAGTGTAAACTGGTTCAACCATTGTGGAAGACAGTGTGGCCATTCCTCAAGGATCTAGAACTAGAAATACCATTTGACTCAGTGATCCCATTACTGGGTACATACCCAAAGGATTATAAATCATGCTACTATAAAGACACATGAACATGTGTGTTTATTGCAGCACTATTCACAATAGCAAAGACTTGGAGCCAACCCAAATGTCCATCAATGATAGACTGGATTAAGAAAATGTGGCACATATACACCATGGAATACTATGCAGCCATAAAAAAGGATGAGTTCATGTCCTTTGTAGCAACATGGATGAAGCTGGAAACCATCATTCTGAGCAAACTATTGCAAGGACAGAAAACCAAACACCGCATGTTCTCACTCATAGGTGGGAATTGAACAATGAGAACACTTGGACACAGGGCAGGGAACATCACACACCAGGGCCTGTTGGGTGGGGGGGCTGGGGGAGGGATAGCATTAGGAGAAATACCTAATATAAATGATGAGTTTATGGGTGCAGCAAACCAACTCGGCACATGTATACATATGTAACAAACCTGCACATTGTGTGCATGTACCCTAGAACTTAAAGTATAATAATAAAAAAAATGTATAAAACCAAGCTATGCCTGGACCCCCTTGGGAACATGTCTTCAAGACCTCCTGAGGCTGTGTCATGAGTGTGTCCTTAACTTTGGTAAAGTAAACTTTCTAAATTGACTGAGACCTGTCTCAGATATTTTGGATACACAAACTGGTAGCCACAAAGGTATTCTGAGTAGAGGGGCCCCTGATCTTTGACAAATCTATATGTGCTTGGTGCCAGCTTCAGCTATCATGATAGCTCAAACCAACAGGATAATTTGCTGAGGCCTTGCAGCCCCCGCCCCCACAAGAGAATCCCTGATCTACCAGAATTTGGTCAAGATCTAAAGTTTATTTTGCTGTACAACTGCTTTTTTGGAGTTTCATTTGCTTCCAACAAGGAAGGCAAGTTTTCCTTCTTCCATGATGAAAGACAGGTAATTGCTTTTTGGAGTTTCAGCTCCCTTCCAACAGGGAAGGCAAGTTTGAGTTTTTTCCTGCTTCTAGGATAGTAGCAGCCTGAGACCCATTCCTAGGTAAGTAGCTGAGTTGGAGTTTTCTCTTGGCTAAAGCAAAGATTAATAACCAGTTAGTCTTAATTTCTCCTTACCATTAAAGTGCTTAGTAATCCTATTGCGTAATTGTTGTTTGTTGTGTGTTGTATGTTTTTGTTTTTGTTCTGATCTTTTTCCCATTGGGTTTGACCAACTCTATCTGACTTGATTAAATTTGAAGGAAAGTTCCAAATTATGTGAAACAAGGCCTCAAGGACTCTGAATTGGCTAAATTCCCGCAACTGAAAGAAAAAAGAGGGGAAAAAGAAAATCCAGGCAGCAAAAGGGAAAAAAAAGGAATTATTTATTTATTTATTTATTTGAGACGGAGTCTCGCTCTGTGCCCCAGGTTGGAGTGCAGTGGCACAATCTTAGCTCACTGCAACCTCCGCCTCCCAGGTTCCAGCAATTCTCCTGCCTCAGCCTCCCAGGTAGCCGGGATTACAGGCACACATCACCATGCCTGGCTTATTTTGTATCTTTAGTAGATATGGGGTTTCCCCATGTTGGCCAGGCTGGTCTCGACCTCCTGACTTCAGGTTATCTACCTGCCTCAGCCTCCCAAAGTGCTGGGATTACAGGCATGAGCCACTGCACCCCAAGGAAATATTTTTTATTTTGACTACCTAATGGACTTTATTTACATAACAAGGCCGCCTTTTGCTAGTTAAGCTAAACTGAAAGAGCAATGGCTGTTGCCCCATAGCTAAGGTTCTGCCTCCCACCCCATTTTTTCACCACCACAGCCTGGGTTTTGTTCCTAAATCAAGCCCTTTCTGGTTTGGTATTTGTGTTGCTTTTGAAATATCAGCAATTTGTCCTAGTGAAAATACGGTAATGAGATTTAAGATAATTTTTTTAAGGGAGCTCGACGGTTAAAAGTCAGCTTGATTGAAAGCTAACATCCAAGATGTGTGTGTGTGCGTGTGTGGTGTGTGGCCAGGCAAGGAGGCTCACGCCTGTAATCCCAGCACTTTGGGAGGCCAAGGTGGGTGGATCACTGGAGTCAGGAGTCCAAGACCAGCCTGGCCAACATGACGAAACTGCGTCTCTACTGAAAAATACAAAAATAAGCCAGGTGTGGTGCCATGTGCCTGCAATCCCAGCTTCTTGGGAGGCTGAGGCAGGAAAATTGCTTGAACCCAGGAGGTGGAGGGTGCAGTGAGCCAAGATTGCGCCACTGCACTCCAACCTGGATGACAGACTGAGACTCTATCTCAAAAAATAATAATAAAATAAAATTTAAAAACCATAAAGGCCTTTTATATATATAAATATATATTATATACTATATAGTTATATTTACTATAATGTTAATTACAATATAATATAAATATAATATATTTGGTATATAAAAGGCTTTATATATATTTTATATATAAGATATATAACATATATAATAGTTATATATCTTATATATAAGATATATAACATATATAATAGTTATATATTTTATATATATTATATATTTTATACATAGTATACCGAGTATATATATTATATTTATATTTAATATAATATATATGCAAAATATTTAACATATTTTATAACATATAAAATATATATTATGTATTAATGTAGCATATATATATGTGTGTGTATATATATATGGTCTTTGCTTTTTCTCTCTCTCCTAGGACCTTAGCTTTTTTGATGAATTTTTTTTTCCTGTCTCAGTTGATTGAATGAGTTTTCTCCATTTACTTCTGCTGTCTCTCCTTTCTCCTAGGTTTACATGAGGGACCTAAAATAGTTTGCAACAGTCTGGTATTCCTTAAAGAAAATGGAGAAGGCACCAGGTTCCCTTTTGGGGAGAAACCTCTGTTTCTTTTTTTTTTTTTTTTTATGGAACCTCAAGAGCATAAACAGACAACTTCTTCTCAGATCTTAAGCTGCTTACTTTTGTATTATCTTACCTGATTTCTTTTTTCTTTTTTTTTTTTGACTAAAATAGTTATTATAACAGGGTTACTCTTGGGTGTTTAAGGTAAAGAAGAGTGTAATGTAGACACTTAGAGAAATGTCTTTCTTAAAAAAAAAGTAGACTGTAAAAGCACCATGTGGTCTAGCCCCATAATAGTTCTCTGTTTCTGGAGAACCAGGATTCAGTGTGGGCTCTGCCCTGAGCTCAGAGACCCAGTTAAAAGACAGAGACTAAATTTAGAACTACCTATCTAAAATAAAATTGGTCTCCCTATACAATCCTATGACAGAGTTCTATAATTTTATGTTTGACTTGGCATCCGTTTTTTATCTCCCTCTAGTAGCACCAGACTCTTTTTCTCTGTACCTTGAGTTGTAATTTTCACACATTTTTCCCCTAGGAGTTGTTCCTTTAATAAGCAAATTTAGGGCTATCTAGATGACAATTGTCCAGGGTAATGAAACAGTTTATTAAGAAATTGGAAGTCTTAAAGAGGAGAAAATAATAGATCTTATGAATTTACAAGATCTACTTTTATCTGCCTGTTTAATACATCTATGTATTTATATGTTGTGTATATGATGTTTCACTATTAAATATATAAAACAGTGCTAATTAATTGGCTTAAAGAAAAGCACTTATATCAAATACTTTATCAGAAATAAGAGACTTTATGCCAAATGCTTTTTCAAGTTCATGTGGCTTAAGTAAATTTTTAATAAATAAGCTGGTTTAAAATGTATTAATGAAATAGAATTAGAAATGACTTCAGAATTGTCAACATACATTATTGTTTAGATTTATTGGTAAAGTGGTTTTATATTTATCTCTACTAGATGTCAAGATTTGGCATGAGAGTTATCAAGCTATGAATACAGCCCAAAGGAAAATTATGTTTGTTTGTGTAAATTTTATAAATAAGACATTTAATATTGTCCAGTTAATAAAAACAGTTAAATTCTGAATTATTGGCAAAAAAAGAAACCATTTATTTAACTTTAAGGTTCTCACTTGGGAAATCCTGCAATTCACAGTTTATAAAAATGCTTAACAGGGAAATAACTTCAAATGATAACTGTCACAGTTTTCATAAGTAATCTGGATAAACTATTTAAAAAATTAATTAATTAGGTATTAGGTTGGTGCAAAAGTCATTGCAGTTTTTGCCATTGAAAGTAATGGCAAAAACCACAATGACCTTAGCACCAACCTAATAAATATAATCAAATGAATACTTGCAAATAAACTTGCCATATAATTTAAAAGGTAAAATTATATTAAGTTAAATAATACATATTCATTAAATGTCTGGGTCATTTCTTATTATTAAAAATTATATTACAAGGAAACATTTTTATAAAAAAAGAAATGTGTTCTAATTTAAAGGAAAATAAATTTTTGTCTAATTCAATGGTTATTTAAAAGTTATTTATAAAACAAGGTAAAGGTAACCAGTAAATAAAATCAATGTACATAAAGTTATAAATAGGTATTTTTAGCAAAATAGGTTAAGAGGAAAATAATTTTATATGAGAAAGAATCTTGTATGGTAAATTTTTGTCTTATAATAAAATGGCTAGTTGTTTAAGAAAGAGGAATGTTTAGAACAAGCCAAAAAGTCTAAGCAGGTCATGAATGACATGCTTAAGTTGTAATAAGTTTTGTAAAAAGAGGATTTTTACTGAAAACAGCTTTATATGATCAAATTGTCTATAATTAAAGGAAAGTTACTTATTTTGGTATTTTTAGAGATTGGGTTTTGATATTTAAAACAAAGATATTCATACACTAAAGAATTGGGTAGAACGATAATTTTTTAGATATTGATTTACTCATTAAAATTACAATATTTTAATTTTTTTAACCCAAAGTTCAACTTTTAATGAGTCTTACTGGTTTTAGCTTTCTCTCCCCTTTTAGAAGGGCTGAAATAACTCTCTCCTTTAATGCCTTCTCAGCTCCTATAAGTTTTTTTTTCCTTAGGTTCTGTTTGTTGTGGCCTAATGCTAAAAATGTTGTATCTTAAAAGTCTAAAGGAAATGCTTTCTTCCAATATAATATTCTGTACTCTTGGCTTTAAATTGTTCTATGAATCTGAAATTTTTCACTTATTATGTAGGAAACACTCTTCCTATGTCTAACCAATTCAAGTATCTTTTTCATTAGTTTTGACTTGCAGATTATCTAAATGGATTCCCCATGGGAACAGCAATTACACTGCAGAAGATCTTTTCTTTTTCCTTTTGGTAACTGGCTTAAAAAATACACTTTACATTTTGTTGAAATAATTCCTGTGTCATTATTATTAAGTTTTGGTTTGCTTAGAAAAAAACAGAGATTAGAAAAATTTTAATTAAGGTTATTACATCCATGTAACTTTCTGTATTTTGCTTTTAAGTAATTGTGCCATTAAGTTATGGACTTTGACTCCTGGGTCTAAAAATGACACCAAGTCCTGTGAAATCTTAAACACTGACAGCACTTAAAGCCTCACCTTCAGACTTGGTAGAACATGCTAATCAAAATAAACTGCATTCATGAGACACAGGGCCAGAAATTAAAACTATGCAATTCTTCAAGGCCTGGGGACTATTGCAGAAGAAGTGGGCACATTAGATTGTAAGGGCAATTTTCAGAGATAAAATTTGTTCAGTTTCCTTATAAATTAACCATTAATATCAAAGGCATACTGATCCAAGACCAGCATCTAGGTCCCTGTGTCAGATTAACAAGATTTTCTTGGAGCATTAACTCACTCCTTAATAAAAGGTTATAAAGCTTATAAAAAGGTTTATGGAAATTATATCTTATGGTATAGAATGATTAAAATTTAATAAATTTTTAAATAAAATCTTAAAAGACAGATTTAACTGGCCTCATACAGTCTTTATTGGGGCTTATTTTTGGGGAAAATTAAGTCTCCTTTCTCAAAGAATAAATGTTTTTGCCTTTCTTTGAAATCTTTGTGTTATCACTTTGGTTAAATGAATGACTTCTTTTATAATGACCTATGATCCTATTTTGTAACATCAAGAGTTTTAAACTTTTTATATTTGACAATCTTTCCAAAATCAAAGTCTAACTTTGGTCCTCATTAATATTTTTCATATTGTGTCCTCTGAAATCCAAAAGAGACATATTCAGTTTATTTGACATAATAAAATTATATAGAAAGTATTGTCAAATACGAAATTATGTTTAACCTTCTTTGGATTATATTTATATAAATGTGTTATTATTATGTGTTCCAGAATTGTATGAGATTCCTGTGATTCTAATGTGTCTTAGTAAATGTTATCAGTAGTAATTATGATTATAATGTAAAATTGTTGTATAACTCAGAAGTAACCAAATTTCCTTGTAATTTGTGTCTTTAACCATCACTGTTCTAAGACTCTTGTCATCCACAGTTGTTTTACTTTTATCCTTTTCAAAAGGTGTTTTTATAATCAGCTATAAGACTCTGACAGGTGCTTTTAAATGTAGGTTTCTGATAACTTTAGAGATTGTGGCACTAGCGTATAGAAAAAACTTCCAAGACTCCATAGAGAGCTAATGTGTTCATAAATATTGAGCAGAATAGGAGTTAATTACATAGACTAAACTAATGGAAGATTGAAATAATCTGTTTCTGACTTTGTTTGAAACATTGCTAATTCTTTTGTTTCTGAGTCCAGAAACCCTTTTTCTCTGAGCTTTTAACAGCTGGGTAAACTACACTCCTGTGAGCAAAATCTAAAGCATATTTCTTTATGTAATTTCTCCAGAATTTAAAAACTATTTGCAAGTATACTTAATTTATAGCAATATAGTTATTTGCCTAAGTTCAACAAGAATCTGTTTTCTTTTGTAACAGGACACAATTGCAGACACTGGTTATTTTACCAATGCTTTGACTGGAATGGCATACTTTCAGATTGCTTTAAGGCAAGCTTGTCCAATTCATGGCCCGTGAGTTGCATACGGCCAGGATGGCTTTGAATGTGGTCCAGCATGAATTCGTAACCTTTCTTAAAACATTATGAGATATTTTTGTGATTTTTTTAGCTAATCAGCTATTTGTTAGTATATTTTATGTGTAGCCCAAGACAATTCTTCTTCTAATGTGGCCCAGGGTAGCCAGTAGATTAGACCACCCTTCTTTAAGAAATCAAGGTTGACTTAATAAAGAGCCAATAAAAGCTCTTGGAAAAGCTGGCCTCATATCTTGTATATGCAGTCCCTGTGTAGGTTCCTGACCTATGGTAAGTAAAGAATGTCATTTTCTGACAGGCCAAGGAGCCCCAAGTTTTCTTGGGGCCTTGAGGTGAGGGATATACCAATTAATACACATATTTGCAGGCACAGGCTTGGCTGAAGGCTTTAAAGTCTAATCTGAGATTCTTTATAGAATAAAGCTCCAGCAAAATCATTAAAAAAAAAACCCTATCTGGCAAATAATTATTCTTGCTGATTTTATGCAAATACTCAGGCCAACTATAATAAGAATAGCATTTATTTTACACATAAATTTGTTCTATGATTTGTCTTTAGTGAATATGGGGACTAGAGAGAGAAAAATTATGTTTCAAAATAATCTATAGTACATTTTTCAATTTTCATTATTTTCTACAGTTTGAACTGAATTCTAAAATTATTTCTTGGCTACAAGTCTTCAAAATAATGTTTTTGAATTTTTCAAAATAATGTTCTGAAATTTTTTTCCTTCTTTCTTTTCCTTTCTACCCCAATTTTTCCTATTTTTGAAATCACTGAAAATTAAACTGTACTTTATTAAAGCCCTGTGAACTGAAGCTAGACAACATAAACTTTAGAAAAAAATAACAGCAATCTGTTTACATATGTAAACCACTTTCAAACCTGCCTACTGATGTATGGACTTCAGAGTAATATGGCCTATATGGCCTATAACTATTTTCCAGGATTGTTATTCATTTTATTTGCTTGTAGTTGTTCCCTTCCTCCCCTATCTTCTCTTCCTAGGATATGAGACTTCACAACATGCTAAAAACGGGCTTTCCTAATAGATGGGTAGATGGGACGTACTCATCTAGGAATAAACCATCCTAGCCATGAGATATTAGACAAAATCTGAGACCAGAGACACATTTTTTTTCTAAAATGTTTTCTCCAAAAGATTTTAAAAAGAAGGGGGAAATGTGAAAGGAAAATAAATCTTGAGACCCCAAAATAACTAAGCCAAAGGGAAAAGCCAAACTAAGAACTGCATTAGGCAACCTGCCTTACATTCAATCCCTAAATAAGATGACTACAAAAATAAAAAAGTTACATACCTTCCTCACAATTTGCCCACAAGGAAATTCCCTGGGGACTAAGGACAGACAGCTCTCAAAGTCATCCCTCTGCTCGTATGAGACAAATGCATATCTACTTGTTTTCTCTGCCCTATTGTTTCAAGAAGCCAGACTAAGTTATAAATGACTATTCCTCTACCCTCTCCTCACATGTAAAGTGTGCATTCAGTGAAAAGCTAATCAGAGACTCAAAAGAATGCAACTGTTTGCTTCTTATCTGCCTATGACCTGGAAGCCCCCTTCCCAACCTCAAGTTGTCCCACCTTCCCAGACAGAACCAATGTACACCTTGCGCATATTGATTGATGTCTCATGTCTCCCTAAAATGTATAAAACCAAGCTGTGCCCCAACCACCTTGGGAATATGTTGTCATGACTCCCTGAGGCTGTCATGGGTGAGTCCTTAACCTTGGCAAAATAAATTTTCTAAATTGGTTGGGACCTGTCTCAGATATTTTGGGTTCACAGAACAATAGGACAATTCTTAAGTCCCAGAACTATCTTATTTAGGAAGATAAAAAGAATCTGAGGATCCTCATACATAAAATACAATCCCTCTTTTATCCTCAAGCTGCCTTTCTTGTTTTGCATTTTTCATTTGTTCGTCTAAATTAGAGTTTACCCCATTAGAAGTCTTTCAGAAAATTTCTCCTCTGGCCCCTTATTGTTACTGTCAAAGCCCCAGAGCATCTATTATCATGCTAAGACCTATTATAGAGATAGCAGAGCACAGAAAAGAAAAGTGGGCCTCCATCTGTCCTAGTTTTAATTTGGAGAATACTTTAGGGTTTATTACTTAAACTGATGTTTTATTGTTTCCTTTTCCACTGTATCCTTGTATCTTTTTCTCCTTTTCTGACTTTCAGAACTTATCCTTCAAAAATGCTGGGGAAGAAATGGAAGACCTGGCTTTCTATCCGTCATTGCTTGTTGTGACCCAGTCACTGGCAGCCTAATAACAGAGTATGTGGCTGAACCAGCTCCTTCACTTCCACGACCATCATATTTCTGGGGGTTATCTTAGAAAGGTTCAGTTCCATCACGAGTATCTTTATTTTCCTTCTCTAGTTCCAGCCATTTACTTTGTCTAAGGTTCTGGCCAGGGAAAGCCAGAGGAAAGCTAGGAAGATAGGGAAGCCCTTGAACAGCTTGGAGCTCTGGGAGGGCAGAGATTCATAGTTACTTCATATCTGGACTGTCAGCCAGTCTGGGGTGTCTGACACACAAGGGGCACTCAGCAAATGGTGAATGAACAAATGGGTAGTACTAGTGTCAGTTGTTGTGTTTCTCCTATGTAAGAAGATATGAAACTTTTGGTGTGTCTGTAAAAGGAAAATAATTCTAGGGACCCCCAAAATCACTAAACCAAGGAAAAAGTCAAGCTGGGAACTAGGTCAGGAAAACCTGTCTCCCATTTTATTCCTAAATAAGATAGCTACAAAGATAAGAAGCCAAATACCTCCCTCACAATTTGCCCAGCAGGAAATTCCTTGTGGACAAAGGACAGACAGAACTCAAAGTCATCCCTCTGAGGTTCACCTGAGACAAATGCATATATGATTGCTTCCTCTGCCCTATTGTTTACATAAAAATGCAGATTCACTGAGCCACACTAAATTGTGTATTCTGTGGAAGGCTGATCAAGGACTGAAAAGAATGTAACTTTTTGTCTCTTATGTACTTCTGAGCAGGAAGCCCCAACTTCAAGTTGTCTTGCCTTACCACACTGAACCAATGTACATCTTACACATATTGATTGATGTCTCATGTCTCTCTGAAACGTATAAAAACCAAAGGGTACCCCAAACACCTTGAGCACACATCCTCAGGACCTCCTGAAGCTATGTCATGGGTGCATCCTTAACCTTGGCAAAATAAACTTTCTAAATAGGTTGAGACCTGTCTCAGGTATTTTGGGCTCACAGGCCTTATAGGATTAAGGAAGAGGGAGAGTAGAGAAAATAAACCTCAGGCAGAACAGAAATCTGAGCCTGTCTGGAGATGCATCTTGGACTCAGCAAGGTCCTGCTTCTCTCTCAAGAATTTACACATTGTTTTTAGGCGCCTGCATCCAGTAATCAGGCAGACATGTAACTAAAATCCTGAGAACAATTGGAAAAGCCCCAAATGGTATAAAAACCTTGATGAGACAAGTCTAAAAGAAACAAAAAGCAGCTGGACTGTCACCATCCTTAGGTTCATGGAGATGTCGGAAGAAAGTATTACCAGAATCTAGAAGGAGAGAATCATGTATAACAGGCCACTTTAACAGGAACATGCACCTTTGAACAAGAAATCCAGCCAGTTTGCAGTGATCTTTCAGAAAGGACGCTGGCATGTAGTAGGTGTTCAATATATGTTAGCTAGTATTTCATCAACACAATGCATGCAATTAAAAACTAAACTTCAATTATTTTAAATTACAGTTTACCCTTAAGCAATGCAGGGGTTAGGGTATTGACCCCCTGTGCAGTCAAAAATCTGCATATAACTTTGACTCTCTTGTAACTTAACTACTAAGTGGAAGTGGATTATCATAAAGGGCTTCTTCCTATTCACTGGGAGTTGGCTGAGGAGGAGGAGGAAGAGGAAAGGTTGGTATTGCTGTCTCAGGGGTGGCAGAGTTGGAAGAAAATCTGTGTATAAGTGGACCTGCGCATTTCAAACCCATGTTGTTCAAGGGTCAACTGTACTACACGCCAGTCATGATTTCAAGTACTTAACATATATTGATTCACCTTGATCTTCCCAACAATCCTAAGATATAGTTGCTAACATTTTAACTCCATTTTTGTAAGTGATGACACTGAGGCACAGATAATTAAATAACCAATCCAAGACTATGTGGCTAACAAGGCAGCAGATCCATAATTCGAATGTAGATATTTTTGGCTCTAGGATTTAAATCCTTAACCACTATTCTATACTATTTGAGCCAGTTAGAGTTTTTAGGTCCTGAGGGTGAGAGTGGGTGGGAGGTGGGGTATGTTGCAGCCTATTTTATTCCCTCCTTTTTTCACCTTTTTTCATGTCAGTTGAATAGAGATCTGTTTGTTGTCTCCAGGGCCCAATTTAAAAAATATCAAAACCTTAAAAAAAATCCCTTTATAGAATTGGCAGCCTCTGTCCAGTGTCTTTCAACACAATATATGAGAAAATAGGGTATTGTCATTCAAAATAAAATATTAATAATAGGAAAGTGGTAGGAGTGGTGGGTGTTGGCCAGGCTCTAGCCTAACTATACGAATAAGAAGAGAAAGGCACATTCATTCCTGAAATTCAGCTAATTATAATAATGCCACCTAACCGTCTAAGAATGGCTACAGAAATTTTAAAAATAGTTACTAACCACCAATAATTATTATTTGGACACCTTTGATATAACAGAGGGTCTAAACCACAAGGCCTAGTCCAATTATTACTTTACTTCCACCACTGTCCTTTCAAAATAAAATGCACCTGCATTGCAAGTTATAAAAGACATAAGACATAATGAAGTTGAACTGTATTACAATAATATATTTGGCAATAGGTTTTTCTTTTTATATGATTTGCTCTAGAGATCACATAATGCTATGATTTGTTACCTGGGATTTATCGAAAAATGTATATATAGAGAGAGAGAGAGAAAGAGAGAGAGAGAGAGAGAGACAGTGTCTCACTCTGTTGCACAGGCTGGACTATAGCGGCTCATGCCAGCTCACTGCAGCTTGGACCTCCTGGGCTCCTCCCACTTCTCTGCCTCCTGAGTAGCTAGGATCACAGGTGTGTACCACCACACTCAGATAATCTTTTGTAGTTTTTTGTAGAGATGGGGTTTCTCCACATTGCCAAGGTTGGTCTCGAACTCCTGAGCTCAGGCAATCCGCCCACCTAGGCCTCCTAAAATGTTGGGGTTATAAGAGTGAGCCACCTCGCCAAGCCCAAAAGATATATTTTGATCAGTATAACCAATTTATACAGTTGTTTATTGTTAGACAAACTCTTCAAGCACAAAGGATCAGTGCTGGGTGTTCTATATATATGGTATTTGCACACACATGAATGTGTATCTGAGTGTGTGTGTGTGTGTGTATGTCTGTGTGTGTGTGTGTGTGTGTGTATTGAATCAACCAGGCTCTGTGAAATTTGTGATTTCATGCTTGCCAAAAAGTGTGAAAACATTTAGAATGCAGTTGGTACAGAACATTAGCCACTTCTCAATCATATTGGAAATAAGGCCTTGTGATGGTGTAATCATCTGAGAAACTCCATGCTGTGGCAGTCAGTGTCTCATATGGACCATTTCCATAAAAATATCCTCACTTTTTCCAGGAAAAATCTAGCCACAGAAAACCCTCCACCCTTAACACTGAACAATTCTCTCTTTTTAAATATTCCCAAATGGTTCACTTGTCCCCTTGCAGCCAACCAAGGACTCGCAAATGTATCTGAGGACCAACTAGAAAGTTTATCTTAATTAAAAAATCCCATTTTAGTAGAATGTTTGCCAACCAGACACTGTCTCAGTATTGCTTTTTAAACTGTATAAAACTGACTTCCTTTCTAACACTCTTAAACCCCTGCAGAAATGAAAGTGAAGGTGGATGGATTCTCTTGCCACAAGTTTATGAATAAATAGACTCTCTTATTTTTGTGCCAGATTTAGTCTTTTTTACTGCTTTTCCGTGTATTCCAAATTGATTCAGCAAGTCTTACTTGAATAAATTCTCATGAAAATTTCTTACTTAATTTCTTGTTAAAATCTAAGTTATCATTCTTCATTTCAAAATTGCCTTCTCAGTTCAAGATAGCCTGTCAGCTGGTAATGAGAAAACTAAACACATCCTAGAAGTAAGTGTATCTCTTATCTAGAGGTAAAGGTATCTCTTTGTTATTTGCTAAATTTGTCCAGATGGTGTGTTAGACAATACAGTGAAATAATGTGCTTTTGTCATACCTGGCAATATACATTTGGTGATTTCTGTTTTCAAATGTAGGGATTCTTTCTATAAAGGGCATCATCAGTGACCTATATATTAAAAGGAGAAGTAAATATCTTTTAGCAAGTTTGCCAAAGGAAAAGTACTACAGAAATCTTTTCTTTTTATGCATTTCCACCCGTCCTTAGATTCCATTTATAATTACTATTATTGAAAAAGGATATGCACAATGATGCCTTTTATTTCAATATGTGATAAATGTCACAAAACTTTTAATACTTTAAGGAGAAAAGAAACAATTTTCCACCTTATCCTGGAAAAATATTAACATTAAAGTAATCACAGTCATGAACCTCTGTACTATGTCGAAGTGTAAAAATGCAGAGTCGGAAAAAAAAGTCTTCTTGTGTTTTATAATTTAATGCCAAAAGTATCTAATTAGACTTTGGCAATTCTCTAGCACAACTTTGTTATTTTTAGTTAATCTTTATTACTTAAAAGGCCTGTTTTAAATATATTTTAAAATTTACATGAATATTTAAAATAAAATTCATTTTTAATCTTGTGGCCACATTGTAAGGGAATAGGAGAAACCTTGGCTCTATGGATTTGACAGCGTAATTCTTAAGGTTACATGTAGCACATTGAAACAGCTGCGACCAATAACTGTACTGTCTTTATTATTCTCCTACGATATGAAATTAAAATGAAGTGGAAATGTTTATTCCATAAATAGTAGGCAACACTTTAAACAGATAATAAAATGTAAGGGTTTGCTTGAAAATAAAGAGAGGTCTCTCATTTAGCCAAACTGAATGGTAACCCAATGCCAAACTTGTCCAAAGAGACAGCTGACCATCTTGTTAAGAAACTCAAACACATAGCAAGCTCTTCATTAGGGGGAGTTATTTCCATCTCAGTATTCCCAGGTGCCATGAGAAATGAAGTTATGTTTCACATAGTGAATTGAGTAAGCCCATTTCAATTGGTGATGTTTATATAAAGATAACTTTTCTTCATGGGATATTTTGTGATAAAGCTATTTTTAATTCTGTTTGACTCTCTTTTGAAATTCTCCTGGAGCCTGCTGAGAAACTGTATGTTAATTCCTTGGTCAGGATTACAGTATTATTTCTTTACCTAAAAATTAGACCTGTCACATTTAATCATCTCGACTCAACATTTCTTTGTCTTATGTGTACCAATGATAAGTTGAACCAAATCAAATTACTGAAGGTTGTTAATTTTGAAGCAGATAAATGCCTTGTTCCAACATGTGCACCTGAATTGTATTTTGTTTGAAATAAGATACTTCTTTTTCAACAGACACATGCCAATCAATAGTGCTGCATGAGGAAATGCCATAACTGCATAAGGATGACTGCCTGACATGGGTCTGCAAATTGATCTTCAAGATGTTCAATGTTTTTCGTGGTGGGGGAAGGACCACTATATGGGGAATCAAGAACTGCAAGATCTCAAACTGTTCTTAATTTGCTCTCCAATTTCATTCATATATCAAGATATTACTGTGCAATATCTGAAATAGCTGCTGAAAATAGCACAGAAACTGCTATTTGAAAATAGCAGTTTTCTGTTGGCTGAAAATAGCACAGAAACGTAGACATTCCAACCAGCTTGTTACAGTAATTTTGCTCTATTGGGTTACTGAAACTATAGGAACCACTCATAAAATATTTTGTACAGCATCTTTGACGTTCAGCAAAATTCATGGTTGTTGGATATGAAAGAGTGAAGAGGCGCTGGAGTAAGATCGTAGAGACTGAAGAAATTTGAAAAAAAACCTTTGCAGTTTTTAACTGTATCTTTTTCTATTGAAAACAAGATAGAGAATACAGGCAAAATGTTCTAGCGTGCCCTTGTGTACACTCTAAACGTTACACATTGGCAATTCTGGAGCAAACTTTGTTATTTTGAGTTAATCTTTATTACTTAAAATACCTGTTTTAAGATAGATTTTAAAATTTATATGACTATTTAAAATAAAATTATATTTAAATCCTGTGGCCAGATTGTAAGGAAATAGCAGAAAACTTCATTTCTGAGAAAGAAAGTCTACAGAGTTCTCAGTGCTACTGAGTCCTGATTTTCCCTGGAGCTGGTCCTAGAGATGCCAGGGCAGTCTCTGCTGGCCCTATAAGGATGGCAGAAAGCAACTGAGGCAAACTAAGTAGGAGAAGGGGAGTTACTCCTAGCTTGTGCTCAGAAAAGTAACTAAGGTACATTTATACATTGCATTATCCCGTAACAACCCTTCCCCTAATTTCAGGGCCAAAATGTGAGAGTGCTTCTTTGTCTGGGTCCCCCCAGGCTACTTATTTGTGATTCTTTCTGCTTGCACTTAATTTTCATTTCAACCTAATTTCATGAGGATTTAGACATTGAGGTTTAGAGAGGTGCAGAGAGAGATTTGTTCCCAGACATTTACCACACTCAGGGTAGAATCAGACCCTGTACTACACTAAAGCATCTGTACTACAGTAAAGGATGGCACTGAATCAACCTGTCCCCTTCTACCAAACACTGCCTCACTTCAAGCCTATACCAGCAAAACAGTCTTTATGGTTGGCTACAGTTTATCACTTGGTGCATTTCTTACCACATGCTGATAGTCAGATGTCATTATCAATACTTCATGCCAAATTAAGACTTGCTCTCTTCCATTTGGCAAGCATTGATTCTTCCTTCTTTTCCCTCTTTAGACCCAAATAAAGTCCAAATATGCTTGATTTTTTCTTAATCATTTTCTTTAGCTAGGCTTCAACTCAGGGATTTGTAATTGTTTCATAAATGGTATTGCAGGATAACCCAAAGCAAGAAAAAGAATTGCTGATGGTTTGTGAATTCCCTTTCAGTAAATAGTAATGATTTAGTGCTGAGATAAAGCGGTTTCCAAGAAGAGTTAAGATCCAGAAGTTTGGTTCAGATAATTTTAGTCATGACATTTCTGGAATTGCTGGTCCAGAAAATATTTTAATATATTTGAGGTGTAGTAAGTACATCTACATCCACAGATAGTGTGTTTAGAGCGTTATGCAAGATGTGTGACATATAAGACATGAACCCTGTTCTCCCTTATTTACAATCTAAGGAGAGAAAACTAGAAAATGCTCTTAGAGAAAGCAGTAGTGCAGATGTTAAGTGCTATGAGAGTACAAAATAGGAAGAAAGTGATTTATCTGAACTGTATTATTCAAAGTCTGTTTCCAAAAGAAGGTAGAATTTGAGGTGGGCATTGAGGGTTGGATAATAATTGAATAGACAAAGGTGAGTATAGCATAGGTTTAATAAGAACTGATATGGTTTGGCTGTGTCCCCACTCAAATCTCATCTTGAATTGTAGCTCCCATAATTTCTACATATCATGGGATAAACCCAGTGGGAGATAATTGAATCGTGGGGGCAGTTTCCCCCACACTGTTCTCATGGTAGTGAATAAGTCTCACAAGATCTGACTGTTTTATAAGGGGTGCCCCCTTCCACTTTGTTCTCATTTTTTCCCTTGCCTGCTGCCATGTAAGACATGCCTTTCACCTTCCGCCATGACTGTGAGGTCTCTGCAGCCACGTGGAACTGTGAGTCCATTAAACCTCTCTTTCTTTATAAATTACCCAGTCTTGGGAATGTCTTTATCAGCAGCAAGAAAGTGGACTAATACAGTAAATTGGTGCTGGTAGAGTGGGGCACTGCTATAAAGATACCCAAAAATGTGGAAGTGACTTTGGAACTGGTTAACAGGGAGAGGTTGAAACAGTTTGGAGGGCTCAGAAGAAGACAGAAAAATATGGGAAAGTTTGGAACTTCCTAGAGACTTGCTGAATGGCTTTGACCAAAATGCTGATAATGATATGGACAATAAGGTCCAGGCTGAGGTGGTCTCAGATGGAGATGAGGAGCTTGTTGGAAACTGTAGTAAAGGTGACTCTTGCTATGTTTTAGCAAAGAGACTGGAGGGATTTTGCCCCTGCCCTAGAGATTTGTGGAACTTTGAACTTGAGGGAGATGATTTAAGGTATCTGGCAGAAGAAATTTCTAAGCTCATGAGAGGGACTTGGTGGGAGATAATTTCTAAGCAGGAAAGAAATTTCTAAGCAGTAAAGTATTCAAGATGTGACTTGGGTGCTGTTAAAAGCATTCAGTTTTAAAAGGGAAATAGAGCATAAAAGTTCAAAACATTTGCCTGATGATGCAATAGAATAGAAAAATCTATTTTCTGAGGAGAAATTCAAGCCGGCCACATAAATTTGTAAAAGTAATGAAGCACCAAAAGTTAACCACTAAGACAATGAGGAAAATGTCTCCAGGGTATGTCAAATAACTTTGTGGTAGCCCCTCCCATCACAGGCCCAGAGGCCTAGGAGTAAAAAATGGTTTTGTGGGCCAGCCCAGGGCCCCCTGCTGTGTGCAGCCTAGGGACTTGGTGCCCTGTGTCCCAGCCACTCTAGCCATGGCTAAAAGAGGCCAAGGTACAGCTCGGGCTGTGGCTTCAGAGGGTGCAAGCCCCAAGTCTTAGCAGCTTTCACATGGTGTTGAGCCTGTGGGTGCACAGAAGTCAAGAAATGAGGTTTGGGAACCTCCACCTAGATTTCAGAGGATTTATGGAAATGCCTGGATGTCTAAGCAGAAGTTTGCTGCAGGGGTGGGGCCCTCATGGAGAACCTCTGAGAGGGCAGTGCAGAAGGGAAATGTGGGGTCGAAGCCCCCACACAGAATCCCCAGTGGGGCACTGCCTAGTGGAGCTGTGAGAAGAGGGCCACCATCCTCTAGACGCCAGAATGGTAGATCCACTGACAGCTTGCACCATGCATCTGGAAAAGTCACAGACACTCAATGCCAGCCCATGAAAGCAGCTGGGAGGAAGGCTGAACTCTGCAAAGCCACAGGGGTGAAGTTGCCCAAGACCATAGGAACCCACCTCTTGTATCAGCATGACCTGATGTGAGGCATGGAGTCAAAGTAGATCATTTTAGAGCCTTAAGATTGGACTGCCCAGCTGGATTTTGGACTTGTATGGGGCCTGCAGCCCCTTTATTTTGGCAAATTGCTTCCATTTGGAACAGCTATATTTACCCAATGCCTGTACCCCCATTGTATCTAGGAAGTAATTAACTTGCTTTCAATTTTACAGACTTATTGGTAGAAGGGAATTGCCTTGTCTCAGATGAGACTTGGAATGTGGACTTTTGAGTTAATGCTGAAATGAGTTAAGACTTTAGGGGACTTGGGAAGGTGTGATTGGTTTTGAAATGTGTGGACATGTGATTTGGGAAGGGCCAAGGGTGAAATGGTATAGTTTGGCTGTGTTCCCACCCAAATCTCATCTTGAATTGTAGCTCCCATGATTTGCACGTGTCATGGGAGAGACCCACTGGGAGATAATTGAATCATGGGGGCAGTTTCTCCCATACTGTTCTCATGGTAGTGAGTAAGTCTCATGAGATCTGATAGTTTTATAAGAGGCTCCGCCTTCATTTGATTCTCATTCTCTCTCTTGCCTGCCACCATGTAAGACATGGCTTTTACCTTCCACCATGATTGTGAGGCCTCCCCAGCCACGTGGAACTGTAAGTCCATTAAATCTTTTTTTCTTTATAAATTAGCCAGTCTTTGGTATGTCTTTATCAGTAGCATGACAGTGGACTAATACAAGAACATTCTGAGAAAAGACAGGGATGAAAAACACAAAGACCTCTTACTGAGGATGAGCAAAGTAGTAGTAACTAACTGAATAAAAATTGCAATAAATACACGTCATGTAAAAAAGTACTGATTGATCTCATGTGCCCAAGTCCTTAAAAAACATGCTATGACCTAAAACAAACTCTATCATGTTATTTTAATTAGTGTAATTACACTAATTAAATGGAGTAATAAATTTATTATACTAATAAATGGAGTAGTGAAGGTATAGATTCCATATACAGTTTAGAAAGGTTAAAATTAATATTTTAAATTAAATGTTTAGTCTAAACCAGTGGTTGTCAAACTTTAGCATACATTATAATCACCTGGAGAGTGTGTTAAGACATGCATTTCTAGGTCTCAACTCCAGAGGTTTTGATTCAGTTGGTCTCTGATGGGACTAGAGAATTTGCATTTCTAACAATTTCCAAAGTAAAGCTGATGCTGCTGACTTGGAAATCACAGTATGAGAGTTTCAGTCAGAGGAAACACTATATATACTGACTCTGAGTCTTGAATTAGCTTGGTGTGTTCAAGAAACAATGAGGGACTTTGAGAGATGATGGATATGTCTATTATCTTGATTGTAGTGATGGTATCACAGGTGTTTGGATGTGTTCACACTCATCAAATTGTACACATTAAATATCTGCAGTTAATTATCTATCAATTATACTGCAATAAAGCTATTTTTTTTAAAAAATAAAAGAAACAAAGAGGAGGCTTCTTTGATTGGAACAGGTTGAATAAGGCAGACAGAAGTACAAAATGAGGTCAGAGAGATAACAGGGACACTCTGTCCCTTGGACAGAGAGCCTAGGAGGTCATTATCAGGATCTTGGCTTTTACTCTGAAACTGAAAGTCATCTTCATGTTATTTTATTTTGTTTTTTAAGTATAAGATAGTATATTTTGAAATCATTAACAAAAGAAGTTATTCTTATTACGTCTGATATAACATATATTTTTAAAAACCTGTGAAACATAAATAAAACAATAAAAACTGTTTTGTGAGCCTATATGAAATACTCAGGTACACTGAAATAGAAAAATAATGGCTGATGGAAGGGCTGCAGCTGGTGTTTGGTGACTAATTTCTCCATCTAGTTTGTAAAATAATATTTCTGAATTCTTGCTTTCTGCTCAGTTTCTCCATTATTTTCTTCTTAACAGTTATTCCTGGGGTGATCACAGTGGCTCATGCCTGTAATCCCAGCACTTTAGGAGGCCGAAGTTGGCAGATCACTTGAGCCCAGGAGTTCAAGACCAGCCTGGGCAACATAGTGAGACTCCATCTCTACAAAAAATATATAAAAATTAGCTAGGTGTGGTGGCTCACACCTGTGGTCTCAGCTACTTGGGAGGCTGAGGTGATAGGATTGCTTCAGCCCGGGAGGCAGAGGTTTCAGTGAGCTGAGATCACATCACTGTACTACACCTTCAGTGGCAGAGCAAGACTCTGACTCAAAAACAAACAAAACAAAACAAAAAAGTTATACCTTATTGCATACCTACCCTTCCCCATCTAATAAAGAAGCCAACTGTCTGCTCCTGTCCTCTATAGGCAGCAGACAAATACAAACAATGCTTTATGTTCTGACTTAAAATTATATATATATATATATATATTTACATATATATATTTTACATGTAACAAAACCAATTTTATTGTTGGCTAATTGATAGAGATAAGAATTATGTTCCTATGGCATATGTCGGGTCACAAAACATTACCAAACTTCTAAATTAAGACTCAAAGACTTCTGATACTAAACATTGAAATAAATGTGAGCTATACATACATTTAAGAAAGATTAATAAAAACAAGGAAGAAAATTATTTACCCAATTTCTGGTGAATGAGGAGAGTAAGGTCTAGAAGTAGTGGGTGAAATTAAGGAATAAATGTTTGCAATGCAGAATTGTGTAAGGAGCAGCTCCTGCCACAGGGCATTTCAAAAACAAGCAGCCACAAATACAGAGGGCTCACTGTTGAGTGCTTTCCTACTGCATCAGTTATAGTTGTGCATCTCTATGATTATTGCTTATGAATTTTTGTTTGACAATAATTTATATTCATTCATTCATTCATCTTCCAGCCCACTTTTTCTGTGTCCCAGCCAGTATTGGTTCCCTCCTAGCATTCTCAGCTTCCAGGATAGGCTCTGGCCACTTGGAACCCTGAAATTAAATAATGTGGGGCCCATACGTTTTGTGAGCCCATATGAAATATTTAGGTACATTGAAATAGAAAGATAATGGCTACTAGAAGGGCTGCAGCTAGTGTCTGGTAACTAATTTCTCCAGTTAATTTGTAAAATAATATTTCTGAATTCTTTCTTTCTGCTCATTTTCTCCATTAGTCTCTTCTTAACAGTTATTCCTGGACTGGGCACAGTGACTCATGCCTGTAGTCCCAGCACTTTGGGAGACCGAGGCAGAAGGGATTGCCTGAGCTCAGGAGTTTGAGGCCAGCCTGGAGAACATGGTGAAACCTCGTGTCTACCAAAAATACAAACAATTAGCCGGGAATGGTGGTGTGCACCTGTGGTCCCAGCTACGTGGGAAGCTGAGGCAGGAGGATTGCTTGAGTCCAGCGGGTCGAGGTTTCAGTGAGCCAAGATCCAGCCACTGTACTCCAGTCTGGGTGACAGAGAGGGAGAACTTGTCTCAAAATATTAATAATAAAAATAATGCAGTTTAGCTAAAGTTGATTTGAAATTAAAATAGCTTTAAGAGCCAAATTCAAAACAATACATGTTTATTGCAGACGTATTTGGACATAAAAACCTGAGCATAAAAGTGATCTAAATCTATACCTACCCACCATCCAGAAATGACACTGTTAACAATGTCACATAACTCCCATACACACACACATATACACATGCAAATTATTAGACATGTGTATTTTGAATACACATACACACACACAAATAAACCTATTTTTTGAAATTGGGTTATAACATACATGCTACTGTGAAATCTGCCTTTTTTACTTAAAAATGAAATATGAAAATGTCTCACCACCAACAGTATTCTCGCTTACCAGTGGAGGTTTTTTTTTTTTTTTTTTTTTTTTTTTTGACAGAGTCTGGCTCTATCGCCCAGGCTGGAGTGCAGTGGTGTGTGACCTTGGCTCACTGCAAGCTCCACCTCCCGGGTTCACACCGTTCTCCTGCCTCAGCCTCCCGAGTAGCTGGGACTACAGGTGCCTGCCACCACCACCACGCCTGGCTAATTTTTTTATATTTTTAGTAGAGACAGGTTTTCACCGTGTTAGCCAGGATGGCCTTGATCTCCTGACCTAGAGATCCGCCTGCCTCGGCCTCCCACAGTGCTGGGATTACAGGTGTGAGCCACTGCGCCTGGCCATTGTTTTTAATGATGTCTACCCAGAGTTAATGAGAGTATGGGTAATTTCAGACTTTCATAGCTAAAACTGTAAATTGGTTCAATCTTTCTGAAGTAAATTTGGCCAGGTACTTCAAGAGATTTAAGTGCAATTTAAAGGTTATAATATTTGAATGCCTTTTCACTTCACATTGGGATTAGTGCAAATTTCCATCCCAAGGATATTTGTCACAGTCCACTTTATAATTTTTGATAGTAGCCAAATACCAAAACGTATAACAAGAAATACCATTCTGAATGTGCCTGATCTCGTCTGCTATTTATTTTAACAAGTCTCTCTTCATGCTGCATTAAGAATAGTCTGGGCCAGGCCTGGTGGCTCACGTCTGTAGTCCCAGCACTTTGGGAGGCCAAGGCGGGTGGATCACCTGAGGTCAGGAGTTTGAGACCAGCCTGACTAACATGATAAAACCCCATCTCTAGTAAATACAAAAAAGTTAGCCAGGCGTGGTGGTGCATGCTTGTAATCCCAGCTACTTGGGAGACAGGAGAATCGCTTAAACTCAGGAGGCAGAGGTTGCAGTGAGCCGAGATTGCACCAATGCGCTCCAGCCTGGGCAACAAAAGCGAAACTCTGTCAAAAAAAAAAAAAAAAAAAAAAAGCCTGAAGGAGGGCAAGGTGGGAAGCAGGAAAAGAAGTTAGAAGAATATTGTAGTAATCCTGGCCTAAGAGAGTTTACTGCTGGACCAGGGTGGTAGTAATGGAAGTGGTAAGAAATATTAGAATCTGGACAGTATTTGAATGTAGAGCCAATGTAATTTGCTGACAGATAGGGTGTGGGATCTGAGAATAAAAACAATCAAAGAGGGCTTCAAAGTTTTTATTCTGAGCAACTGTAATGGAGGTGCCATAAACTAAGATGGGGATGATTTTGAGTGGAGCAGACTTGGAGGAGGGGGAAGATTAAGAGTTCAGTTTGAGGTATGTACAGTTAGGGATTTATAGACATAAAATATTACAGCTGGACAGAGCTATACAGATTATCTCTTATTTCCTCTTAGTATACCTTTATGGAAAAATTAGCCCTAGAACAGGATAAGGACATAGCCAAAGTCTCATAACTAGACAGGAGCAGATCTAGGAGTAAGACTGTTTTACATTTCTTTTATATATCCGGAGTGCTCAGTACTGTGCTGATTACACAATAAGCTCTTTACAAAGAGTGATTAAAAGCTTTTATGAGAGCTATTTAGTTTAGTACTCTTAACCAATGTAGGTTTGTGGGGAAAATCAGGTTGAACTCTTTCAGCAATAATTTGAATATGTGGTTCTAATGATTTTTAGGTTCTAAATCTAAAAAATGCACTGGTGCTAAGAAGGCTGTTTCTGTCCTCAGCATCACACATTGAGCTAACTCATTTTCAGAGTTTCTTATCTTGAAACAAAATTTGTTGGCCACCAGTAGAAATGTCCCTGACGTCCCTAAATGCTGAATCTGGGGGAGATAATTAGGGTTTTTTTTTTTTTGACAGTTAAGTGACTACTGTACGGGGACTCAGAAAACCTGAGTTCTGACCTTAGCTTTCTTATTATTACTATCTCTTTGTATACTGGGGCAAGTCACTTCCCCTCGCTGGGATACAGTTTCCTCACTTCTAAAATTAAATTGTTGGCCTGCATCCCTCCATATCTACTTTCACCTCTTGAAATTAGATTTCCTATCTCAATTTTTTAGGAAGAATTCATGACTGAGCTTTCTTTTTGTTCCTAAGAGCTTTCATGTGTGTCTAGAAATGCACGTATCTAAACAACCAGACATGAAATGTGAGCTAAGTATACTCCATTGGAAAAGGTGAGACTACAAAAGCACAGCAAGGTAGTAAGTATGCAGAACTTTGAAAGCACAGTTCTAGATTCTTCCTCTGGTTCCACCATTAACTCACTGTGTGACTTAACTTTGTCACTTAACCTCACACTTCAGTTTTCTTCTTGCTCAAAGAGGGCTGCAGATTGCCCCTCTGACATTATAGGGATATTGTAATAATTTAATGGAGTAATCGATTAAAAAAGCTTTGAAAAAAGTGCATTGTTTAAAATGTAAATTGGTGTGGCATATAACAACAAAGCAATAGTAATAGTTAACATTTATTTTTCATAATATATTCTCACCATGTCAAGCACCCGCTCCTTCATTTTGCTAAATGTCACTTTCTCAGTGAGGTCTTTTCTGACGGCTCTTTATAATTACTACTTCCACTCATATTCCCATTCTCCTTACCATGCTTTACTTTGCATGGCACTTATCACCAGCTAACATCTAGTATAATTTAGTTTATTATATTATTGCCTGTTTCTGATCACTAGAATATATTATCTATAAGTGAAGGGATTTTATCTGTTTTGTTCCCTCCTGTGTCCCTAACACCTAAGAAAGTAGATGATATATAATAGACACTTGGTAAATATTTGTTGAATAAGTGAATTCTGTCAGATAAACCTTCTCTTTTCCCATCTAGGTACAGATGGTATTAGCCTGTTTAAAATCAACATTTTTACTATTGGTCCAGCAGAAGTCAGTCCTTGTGCTATGCAGGTAGCTAGCTAGTTGTCAATCCTGTTATCTTAGAAGATCTTGAGTAAGTCATTTTTTTTTAGATATAATCATCCTTTTGAGGCCCCTCTCCTATAAGATTAACCCTATGATTAGGTGAGATATCTTCTGAGGAGGATTGTCTAATGCAAAGTTTCACCATGATGTTCAATACTTTCTCTCTGATGCCTTAGCTATGTAACCTTGTTCATAGTACTTGAATATCTTCAGGCCTTTGTTTTCTCATCTACGAAATGGAAATCACAGTAGTACCTTCTTCGTAATGATGCTAAACAATCAAATAGACATTGTAAATAAAGCACTTAAAATAGTGTCTGGCACATTTGAAGAGCCCAGAAAATATTAGTCTTACTTGTGATGTTGTATGGGGGTAGGGGTGTTCTTGGAAAACTCCCAAGTCTCTTCCTGACTATTAGAAGCAAACCTGACTTTCTACATGCCCATCCTCACAAAATGCCCATATCTAAAAGGTACTTATTTATAGAACATGAGGATATATGTATATCCCCATGCCTGAGTAATGGATAACGAAAAAATGTGGAGAGGGAGAGATGTGAGGAACACAAAAGGAGGCCGAAAGTTCTGAAAATTTACTCACTGACTTCACGAGATTGTGCTAGGCTGGCCTTGGTGATTGAAGCTTGGACCAATTCCCATAAAGGAATATCCTCAAAGCAAGTAATTCTTAACAGACAGTGCTGGGATAAAGGAATCTGTGCTGTGACTTGGAAGCTTCCCTTCTACCAACAGGATTTCATGGTTGCCAGAAAGGTAGGCAAAATGTTACTGTAGCAAACTTAATGAGTACATGCTGTGTGTACTTAGGCATAAACATCCAGTCTTCCCTTGGATGAAGCTGTAATTCATCACAATCACATCCCCTTTATGGATGGGAAATTTTCTCTAGCTTAGAATTTCCTCCTGATGTCTTTCCTTTGTTAGATGACAAAAGGAACTGCTGTGGCTTAAGTACCACCTCTCCAGATTGTGCCTGACAAATCATGTGCAAATGAAATCAAATAAACTCCACTGTTACATAAGGCATCAACAGGGGGTCACTTTTTAATTTTTATTTTTTGTGGGTACATAGTAGCTGTATATATTTATGGGGTACATTAGATGTTTTGATACAGTCATGAAAGGTATAATAATCACATCATGTAAAATTGGGTATCCATCACCTCAAGAATTTATCCTTTGTGTTACAAACAATCCAATTATACTTTTTTAGTTATTTTAGAATGTACAATTAAATTATTATTGACTGACATGGTTTGGGTCTGTGTCCGTGCCCAAATTTCATGTCAAATCATATTTCCCAATGTTGGAGGTGGGGCCTGGTGGAAGGTGATTAAATCACAGGGGCGGATTTCCTCTTCGTGCTGCTCTTGTGATAGTGAGTGAGTGTTTGTGAGATTCGGTTGTTTAAAAGTGTGTAACACCTCCGCCCCTCACCTTCTCCTGCTCTGACCATGTAAGACATGCCTTCTGCCATGACTGTAAGTTTCCTGAGGTCTCCACAGCCATGCTTCCTGTACAATCTGCAGAATCATGAGCCAATTAAAACTCTTTGCTTTATAAATTATCCAGTCTCCGGTATCGCTTAATAGCAATGTGAGAACAGTTTAATACCTTGACTACAGTCACTCTTTTGTGCTATCAAATAATAGGTCTTATTCATTCTTATTTTTGTCCATACATTAACCATCCCTACCTCTATCCCCACTCCACTCCACTTCTCAGCCTCTGGTAACCTTCCTTCTGCTATTCTATGTCCATTAGTTCAATTGTTTTGATTTTTAGATCCCACAAATAAGTGAAAACATGCAATGTTTGTCTTTCTGTTCCTGGCTTATTTTACTTAATATAATGACCTCCAGTTACATCCATGTTGTTGCAAATTGCAGGGTCTCATTCTTTTTTTAATGGCTAAATGGTACTCCATTATGTATATGTACCACATTTTCTTTATCCATTCATCTGTTGATGAATGCTTAGGTTGCTTCCATACTGTGGCCATTGTGAACAGTCCTGCAACAAACACGGGAGTGCAGATATCTCTGTGATATACTAATTTCCTTTCTTATGGGCATATACCTAACAGTGTGATTACTGAATCATATGGTAGCTCTATTTTTAGTGTTTTGAGGAACCTCCAAACTGTTCTCCATAGTGGTTCTACTAATTTACATTCCCATCAACAGTGTACAAGGGTCCCCTTTTCTACACTTACTTTTCCATTTTAAAAAATCAGATTACTAGATTTTTTCCTGTAGAGTAGTTTGAGCTACTTATATATTCTGGCTATTAATCCTTTGTCAGATGAGTAGTTTAAAAATACTTTCTCCCATTCTGTGGGTTGCCTCTTCACTTTGTTGATTGCTTTCTTTGCTGTGCAGAAGCTTTTTAACTTGATATTATCCAATTTGTCCATTTTTGCTTTGGTTGCCTGTGTTTGTGGGTTATTGCTCAAAAAACTTTTCCCCAGACCAATGTCCTGGAGAGTTTCCCTGATGTTTTCTAGTAGTAGTTTCATAGTTGAGGTCTTAGACTGAAGTCTTCAATCCACTTTGATTTGATTTTTGTGTATGGCAAAAATAGGTATCTAGTTTCATTCTTCTGCATATGGAAATCCAGATTTCTCCACACCATTTATTGAAGAGACTGTCTTTACCAATTGTATGTTCTTGGCACCTTTGTCAAAAATGAATTCACTGTAGGTCTGTGGAATTGTTCCTGGGTTCTCTATTCTGTTCTATGGGTCCATTTGTCTGTTTTTATGCCCATAACATGCTGTTTTTGTTACTATAGCTCTGTAGCATAATTTGAAGTCAGGTAATGTGATTCCTCCAGTTTTGTTCTTTTTGCTTAGGATAGCTTGGCTATTCTGGGTCTTTTGTGGTTCCATATAAATTTTAAGATTTTTTTTCTATTTCTGTGAAGAATGTCATTGCAATTTTGATAGGTATTGCATTGAATCTGTAGATTGCTTTCGGTAGTATGGGAATTTTAACAACATTGTTTCTTCTAATCCATCTACATGGAATATCATTCCATTTTTGGTGTCCTCGTCAATTTCATTTATAAGTGTTTTATACTTTTCATTATAGAGGTCTTTCACTTTTTTGGTTAATTCCTAGATATTTATTTTTATTTGTCACTACTGTAAATAGGATTACTTTTTAAATTTCTTTTCCAGATTGTTCACTGTTAGCATATAGAAATGCTACTGATTTTTATTAATAATTAATATTTATTTTAATAGTTTTTGAGGTACAGGTGGTTTTTGGTTACATGGAAAAATTCTTTGTGGTGATTTATGAGACTTTGGTTTACATGCCACCCAAGCAGTGTACACTGTACCCAATATGTCCTCTTTTATCTCTAAGCCCCATCCCAAGCTTCTTTTGGGACCCCAAAGCCCATTATATCATTCTTATGCCTTTGCAGCCTCATAACTTAGCTCTCATTTATAAGTGAGAACATACAATATTTGCTTTTCAATTCCTGAGTTACATCACTTAGAATAATCACCTATAGCTCAATCCAAGTTGCTGAAAATGATATTACTTCATTTTTATGGCCATGGTATGTATGTATGTGTGTGTGTGTGTGTGTGTGTGTGTGTGTATATATATATATATATATATATATATATCACATTTTCTTTATCTGCTTGTGGGATGATGAGCACTTAGGTTGGTTCCATATTTTTACAATTGCAAATTGTGCTGCTAGAAACCTGTGTGTGCATGTGTCTTTTTCATAAAATGACTTCTTCTCTTTTGTGTAGATACACAGAAGTGGGAATACTGGATTGAATGGTAGTTCTACATTTAATTCTTTAAGGAATCTTCATACAGTTTTCCATAGTAGCTGTACCAGCAGTGTAAAAGTACTCCCTTTTCAACACATCCATGCCAAAATCTATTGTTTTTTGACTTTTTAATTATGGCCATTTTTGCAGCAGTAATGTGGTATCTCATTGTGGTTTTAATTTGCACTTCCTTAGTAATTAGTAATATTTAGCATTTGTTCATATATTTGTTGGCTGTTTGTATATCTTGTTTGACAACTGTCTATTCATGTCCTTTGCCCATTTTGTGATGGGATTATTTTTTTTCTTGTTGATTTGAGTTCCTTATAGATTCTGAATATTAGTCTTTTGTTGGATGCATAGTTTGTAAATATTTTCTCCCTCTCTGTGGGTTGTCTGTTTCCTCTGCTGATTATTTCTTTTGCTGTGAAGAAGCCTTTTAGTTTAATTAGGTTCCATTTATTTATTTGTGTTTTTATTGCATTCGTTTTTAGAGTCTTAGTCATGAATTATTTGCCTAAGCCAAGGTCTAGAAAAGTTTTTATGATGTTATTTTCTATAACTTTTATGGTTTCAGGTCTTAGATTTAAGTCTTTGAGCCATCTTGAATTGATTTTTTTGTAAAGTGAGAGAGGAGGATACAGTTTTATTCTTCCACAAGTGGCTTGCCAGTTATCCCTGAATGATTTGTTGAATAGGGTGTCCTTTCCCCACTTTATGTTTTTGTTTGCTTTTTCAAAGATCAGTTGGCTGTAAATATCTGGCTTTATTTCTGAGTTTTCTATTCTGTTCCATTGGCCTATGTGCCTATTTTTATACCATTACCATGCTGTTTTGGTTAACTATAGCCCTGTAGTATAATTTGAAGTCAGGTAATTTGATGCTTCCAGATTTGTTCTTTTTGCTTAGTATTGCTTTGGCTATGTGGGCACCTTTTTTATTCTATATGAATTTTAGAATTGCTTTATCTAGTCATTTGAAGAATGATGATGGTATTTCAATGAGAATTGCATTGAATCTGTAGATTGCTCTGGGAAGTATGGTAATTTTCACAATATTGATTCTACCTATCCATGAGCATGGAAGGGGTTTCCATTTGTTTGTGATTTATTTCAGCAGTGTTTTATAGTTTCCCTTGTAGAAATCTTTCACCTCCTTGGTTAGGTATATTCCTTAGGTTTTATTTTTCCAGCTATTGTAAGAGGAATTGAGTTGCTGATTTGATTCTTAGCTTGGTCATTGTGTATAGCAATGCTACCGGTTGTGTACATTGATTTTGTGTCCTGAGACTTTACTAAATCTGTTTATCAGATCTAGGAGCTTTTCAGATGAGTCTTTAGGGTTTTCTAGGTATACAATTATATCATCAGTGAACAGTGAGAGTTTGACTTTATCTTTTTAGATTTGGATGTCCTTTATTTCTTTCTCTTGTCTGATTGTTCTGGCTAGGACTTCTATTACTATATTGAATAGAAATGGTGAAAGTGAGCATCCTTGCATTGTCCCAGTTCTCAGGGTAAATGCACTCAACTTTTACCCATTCAGTATGACATTGACTGTGGGTTTGTCATGTACAGCTTGTATTACTTTGAGGTAAGTCACTGCTATGCCTATTTTGTTGAGGGTCTTTATTATAAAGGGATGCTGGATTTTACCAAACGCTTTTTCTGCATTCTGTCATGTGATGTATCACATTTGTTGACATATATGGTAAAACATCCCTGCATTTCGGGTATGTAACACAACTGATCATGGTGTATTATCATTTTGATATGCTTGTGGGTACAGTTAGCTAGAATATTGTTGAAGATTTTTGCATCTATGTCCATTAGGCATATTGGTCTGTAGTTTTCTTTTTTTGTTTTGCCCTTTTCTGGCTTTAGTATTAGGGTGATACTGGCTTCATAAAATGATTTAGGGAGATTCTCTTTTTCTCTATCTTCTGGAATTGTGTCAGTAAGATTGGTAACAATTCTTCTTTGAATGTCTGATAGAATTCAGGAATTTTTGTTGGCAATTTTCTGTTACAGACTCAATCTGGCTTATTGCTATTGGTCTGTTTGGGGTTTCTATTTCTTTCTAATTTAATCTAGGAGTGTTGTGTTTTCCAGGAGTTTATCCATCTCCTCTAGATTTTCTAGTTTGTGCATGTAAAGGTGTTCACAGTAGCCTTGAATGATCTTTTGTATTTCTGTGGTATCAGTTGTAACATCTTCCATTTCATTTCTAATTGAGCTTATTTGGATCTTCTCTCTTCTTTCCTTAGTTAATCTTATTAATTGTCTATCAATTTTGTTTATCTTTCAAAGACCCAGCTTTTTCTTTTATTTATCTATTGTATATTTTTGGTTTTAATTTTATTTAGTTTTGCTCTGATCTTTGTTAATTTCTTTTCTTCTGCTAGCTGTGGGTTTAGTTTGCTATTTTTTTCTCTAGCTCCTTGAGGTATTTAACACTATGAACATTCTTCTTGGCAGTGCTTTTGCTGTATCCCAGAGGTTTTGATAAGTTTTTTCACTATTATCATTCATTTCAAATAAATTTTAAATTTCTATCTTGATTTCATTGTTAACCCAAACATCATTAAAGAGCAGATTACTTAATTTCGACATATTTGTATGGTTTGGAAGATTCCTTTTGGAGTTGATTTCCAGTTTTATTCCACTCTGGTCTGAGAAGATACTTGATATGATTTTGATTTTCTTAAATTTATTAACACTTGTTTTGTGGTGTAGCATATGGTCTATTTTGAAAAATGTATATTCTATACGTGTTGGGAATAATGTTCTATAAATATCTAAGTCTATTTGTTCTAGTGTATAGTTTAAGTCCATTGTTTCTTTGTTAACTTTCTGTGTTGATTATCTGTCTTGTGCTGTCAGTGGAGTATTGAAGTTTCCCACCCCGTCTGTTATAGCATCCTGTTTCCTCATGCCTGCCCTTTCATACCAGACTTGCTGTTCCTGGCTGATGCTTGATGCTTCCACCACCAGTACCTCACCTCCATCTAAGACAACAATTGATTCTTCCTACCGTGCTCCTTTAACTCACTAGGGGCTGGAATATCTTGTCTCTCATAACTATTCAGAAATTTTTTAAAACCTTGAGTTATAATCTACTCTTTCACTATTGAGGTGGGATAACAGACACAGATAAATGTAGATAATGTAGCAGTAAAGATAACAAAACAATATTTGTCCCTATAACATGCTACAGTTTAAAAGTGACTTAACAACTCTTTGTTTCAGTGAATGCTGCTTTCTTCCTCATTAAGAAACATTGTTCTCTAAAATCATGGACTATCAGAAACTTTGCTGTCTGAAATTGTATTAATACAAATGAGACATCTCACTCTTGCCTAGATAGGAGCTAAGTCACTTTGACCCAGAGAGGCAGCCTTGATTTACAAACCAAATACAGAACTTCACATAAGGAGTTTCCACATTTATTTTTTTTTCAAGGAAAGATGACCCTGGTTTCACTTTTGCAGTCTACACCAGGTATTGATCCCTTAAAACACAGTTCTGCTTAGCTTTGAGCCTAAAAATTCATGACTTACTGGACTCAGCTGGGAAAATTTGAAAGTAGGACAGTTCAACAGTTGGGAGTTGGAATTAATGTAGAGACTCCTTCAATCACATATCTTGTACCTGGGCTAAGATAAATTTAAATATTACAACTGCTTGTTGTAAGAGAGCTTGCACAATCTCTTTAAACCTGGCTTGGTTCTCCATAGCATGTCAGCCTCAAAGTAGTTGAATTTAATTAATTTCTCAGTGCTCCAACTAGTGTTTCATCTAGCAAAGTAGAAGCTGATTGCCTTTTATGAAAGCCTCAAAAACCATGCAGCATCACTTTTCCCATATTGTATTGATAGACTGGTCACAAACCTGCCTAGGTTCAAGGGGGGAAAAATATAGATCCATCTATCAATAAGAGGTATAGTATGTCACCACCAAGAAAAGGTTATAAAAGACTTCATTTGGGACATTCTCTTGTTTGCTTGCTTTCTCTGTCTTTCTTGTATCACTTAATTTGAAGATGAAACGATGTTTTAAGCAGCTCTATTGAAAAGTTAACATGATAAAGAAATTAGCCCTCCTAACAGTAGTATCATCAGTGATCTTGCAATCTCATAAAAGACCAGGAACCAGAATCAGCCAGTTAAGCTGCTCCTAGATTCCTGACTCACAGAAATTGGATGATAATAAATGCTTATTGTTTTCAGCTTCTAGGTTTGGGAGTAATTTGTTATGCAGCAATGGTTGAGTAATATAATTACGTAGAAGTACTTTATACAACTGTAAAAGAGAATTCATTTTTTATTATTATACTTTAAGTTCTAGGGTACAGTGCACAATGTGCAGGTTTGTTGTGGAGGTATACATGTGCCATGTTGGTTTGCTGCACCCATCAACTCGTCATTTACATTAGGTATTTCGCCTAACACTATCCCTCCCCCAGCCCCCCACCCCTCAGTGGGCTCCAGTGTGTGATGTTCCTCTCCCTGTGTCCATGTGTTCTCATTGTTCAACTGCCACTTATGAGTGAGAACATGTGGTGTTTGGTTTTCTGTCCTTGTGATAGTTTGCTGAGAATGATGGTTTCCAGCTTCATCCATGTCCCTGGAAAGAACATGAAATCATTCTTTTTACGGTTGCATAGTATTCCATGGGGTATACGTGCCACATTTTCTTTATCCAGTCTATTATTGATGGACATTTGGGTTCGTTCCAAGTCTTTGCTATTGTGAATAGTGCCGCAATAAACATACATGTGCATGTGTCTTTATAATAGCATGATTTATAATCCTTTGGGTATATAACCAGTAATGGGATTGCTGGTTCAAATGATATTTGTAGTTCTAGATCCTTGAGGGATTGCCACACTGTTTTCCACAATGGTTGAACTAATTTACACTCCCACCAACAGTGTAAAAGTGTTCCTATTTCTCCACATCCTCTCCAGCACCTGTTGTTTCCTGACTTTTTAATGATCGTCATTCTAATTGGCGTGAGATGGTATCTCATTGTGGTTTTGATTTGCATTTCTCTGATGACCAGTGATGATGAGCATTTTTTCATGTGTCTGTTTGCTGCATAAATGTCTTCTTTTGAAAAGTGTCTGTTCATATCCTTTGCCCATTTTTTGATGGGGTTGTTTTTTTCTTGTAAATTTGTTTAAGTTCTTTGTAGATTCTGGATATTAGCCCTTTGTCATGTGGATAGATTGCAAAAATTTTCTCCCATTCCGTAGGTTGCCTGTTCACTCTGATGATAGTTTCTTTCCCTGTGCAGAAGCTCTTTAGTTTAATTAGATCCCATTTGTCTATTTTGGCTTTTGTTGCCATTACTTTTGGTGTTTTAGTCATGAAGTCTTTGCCCATGCCTATGTCCTGAATGGTATTGCCTAGGTTTTCTTCTAGGGTTTTTATGCTTTTAGGTCTTACATTTAAGTCTTTAATCCATCTTGAGTTAATTTTGGTATAAGGTGTAAGGAAGGGATCCAGTTTCAGCTTTCTACATATGGCTAGCCAGTTTTCCCAACACCATTTATTAAATAGGGAATCCTTCCCCCATTTCTTGTTTTTGTCAGGTTTGTCAACGATCAGATGGTTGTAGATGTGTGGTGTTATTTCTGAGGCCTCTGTTCTGTTCCATTGGTCTATATCTCTGTTTTGGTACCACTACCATGCTGTTTTGGTTACTGTAGCCTTGTAGTATAGTTTGAAGTCAGGTAGCATGATGCCTCCAGCTTTGTTCTTTTGGCTTAGGATTGTCTTGGCAATGTGGGCTCTTTTTTGGTTCCATATGAACTTTAAAGTAGTTTTTCCCAATTCTGTGAAGAAATCAGTGGTAGCTTGATGGGGATAGCATTGAATCTATAAATTACTTTGGGCAGAACCGCCATTTTCACAATATTGATTATTTCTATACATGAGCATGGAATATTCTTCCATTTGTTTGTGTCTTATTTTGTCAGGCAGTGGTTTGTAGTTCTCCTTGAAGACATCCTCACATGATGTAGATGAACAAGGCTATTTTGATGCCCAGCCTGTTAATTAACAGTCCCTTTGTGCATATATATGTACCAACTTTGGTTTGAAATGAATCAGAATGTATGGGAGCTCACTCTGAATAAACATGAATCACATTAAAGAAGGTTCTTTTTGTGTGTTTTTCCCTAAAATGTGCTGTAAGCATAGATCACTAGCAAAAGCCAAAAGAAATTCTGACATGAAGGGTATTGCAAGGTGTTAACAAAAATGCCCCAGAGCCAATAAATCGGCAGATCTAAATCCTAATCTCAATTGTTACCAGTCAGTTTTGTGACTTTTGGCTACAGATTACCTCCCTCTGAAACTCAGCTTCTTTATTATTAAAAAAGAGGTCTTATCCATAAAATCTTTGCCCAGACCGATGCCCTGAAGTATTTCCCCTATGTTTTATTCTAATAGTTTAGTAGTCTTACATGTAGGCAGACTGGGAAGGGTATGGGGAATGAGGGCTAGAGAGAGGTTGATTAACGGATGTAAAAGTAGAGCTAGAGAGGATAAGTAGGTTATAATGTTATATAGTACTATAGGGTAATGATAGTTAACAATTATTTATTCTGTATTTTCAAATAGCTAGAAGAGAGGATTTTGAATGTTCCCAATAAAAAGAAATGAGAAACGTTTGAGGTAATAAATATGCGAATTACCTGAGTTGATTATTGCATGTTGTATATAAGTATCAAACTATCACACTGTACTCCATAAATGTGTATAATTATTATGTGCCAGTTAGCAATTTTGAAAAGAGAAGATTCAGCTATATTAGAGGCTTTAAAAATTTTTTGAGAAGTTCCCTCATCCTTGTTGCAGGGCGTGCAACAGGGGTGTGGCTCGCTTTTTTGATGCCCAGCTGCTCAACCCCCTAGGGGGCGTATGCAGAGGGGCAGGTTGTGGGGAGCATTTTGGGCTCTGACCCCAAAGCAGCATCTAGAGTTGAGTGTTTACAGCTCCTGAAGCCCCAGTGGGCATGTGTTACAGCATGCTTTTTTAGCTTTGCTGTCTGTACACATCTTAAAAGGCTGTTGTGAGTATTAGATGAGAAAATGCACTTAAAGGTTTTAACTCAGTGTCTGGAATGAGTAATCTCTGAATAAATGGAAGCTATTATTATGGTTGTATATGTTATATACATGTGATCACTGTCATTATTTCATAGTTTTCAAAGCTTTCCTACATCTACTATTTCATTTGACTTTCATTATATCCTTATGATGACAATAATAAAGATTACAAACATAACTTGGTCATGTTCGGCCAGCTAATAAGTGGCAGAACCATGAACATATTATTGTATATAGTTGTAAATTAATAAGTTCCAGTTTGGTAGTACACCTTATGAATTTGATTGGATTTTTTAGTACTCTTCCTTCTGGTCTACCTTACAATGAATCAAACATGTTAATGAACAGCCTAATGACTGTTTGAATGTCTATTTGACTTTCATCTGTCATCACTATATTATTTTGCCCCAGATATGGCAATTTACCTTCACTCTTACCTCTACTTCTTAATAGGCTATTTTTAGTATAGCCAGGTCTAGTCCCCTTAATAAGATTGCTTCTTTACTTAAAATCATGTTCTTTACTTAGAATCATGGAATTCTAGACAGTGTTCTTTTAAGGTCCAGTGTTTTCAACTGCAATTCATGAATTCAACTTAATAGTCATGATTAATGGAATTTTTATGGGAGAGAATAAAACTAAATAATATTAAAGTGCATCTCATGTAAAATGGGTAAAGTGTTGTATCAGAAAACTTCTGTTTAAATCTAGATGTATATATTCATATATAGACATTCAACTATACTGTAAAATATATTTTCCATCATTCACATGGAAGGTGGCAGGGAAGTGCTAGGTAGAGAAGGAGGGGATCCCTGGTAAGACCTCCACCCTCGAGCCTGTGTTCACAGACCTAAGTGAGAACAGTCACTCCTGTTTTTATGCCTAAATGTTGCATTTTCCAAGATGACTCTGGACCACCACACCCACCTATCCTGTTCCCATGAACACCTGAGACCCTAGTAGGCGCAGACACAAGCAGCTGGACGTCAATAGGACCAGAAGAGCACCGCAACAGACACCAGCAGACACTGGCAGGTTATCGAGGTGGGATGACACAGAATTCAGTCAGGGGCAGTCCGAAAAGAGTCTGATTGCTGGGCAGCCTTACTCTAGGGGCAGACCACCTTCCCACTCCATTCCCCTTTTAGCTCCCCATCCACCTCACTGAGAGCTACCGCTACCACTCAATAAAACCTTGCACCCATCCTCCAAGCCCATGTGTGATTCAATTTTTCCGGTACACTAGGGCAAGAACCTGGGATACAGAAAGCCCTCTGTCCTTGCAATAAGGCAGAGGGTCTAATTAAGGTGATTAACACAAGCTGCCTGCAATCATTATACATATTTTACAGATAAGAAAGTAGAGAATAGAAATCACATAAGTTGCCCACAAACCACTTAGGTAATATACACATTCTCTACTCTGTGGAAAGTTAAAGCAAAAATCCTTAATCCAATCTGTATGCACACACATACACACACAAACCTACTCATCTACTAATCTCCTTCTGTAGATTGAATATAGTTCACTTAGTCACACTGGGCAAAAATCTGAAAGTCAATCTTGATTCCTCTTCTTGCCTTATATCTACATCCAATCCCATCAACAAATTCTGTTGCTGCTGTATATTCAAAATATAAGCAGACTGCAACCACTTCTTACCACTTCCACTGCTACCTCACTAGTCTAAGCCATCACCATCTCTTTCCTAGATCATTGCAAGTTTCCACTTTTGCTCCCAACTAACTCCACTCTCTACACAGCAGTATAAATAATCAACCCCACTTGAAGCCTCCCAATGCCTTTCTATTATAGGTAGAATAAAATACAAACTGCATACCCGCAAGGCCCAAGAAGATCTAGCTCTTGTTGACCTCTCATATCTCTTATCATACAATGCCTCCCACATGTTCAACACTCTTCAACCAGATTGATCTTCCTCTGTTCCTCTCATACATAAAGTTCTTTGCTACCTCAGGTTCTTTGCATCTGCTGTCCCCTACTCCTCAAATATTCTTTGTTAATATCTTAACGTGGTTTGCTTCTTCTTATCATTTGAACCTCAACCCAAATACTATATCCTCAGAGTGGTCTGTATTCATCTCCCTAGTGATCTCCTCCCATCTCCTTATCCAGTTACTGTCTATTACATTACTTGGTTTTATTGTCATCATAGCAGTTTTCATTATCTAACTTTTTCTTGTTTGTTTAATTTTTATATTTTGTATCCTTTTGCTGCAATGTATGCTCCACTAGGGCAGAGATGTTGATTGTCTTGTTGAATGTTGTATCCCTAGAACACCCAAAATCTTAGAATATGCCCAGCATAGTGCATATTTGTACAGTATCAGTACATATTCATTGAATGAATTAATTAATGAATAAACCAAATTATAACCTGGAGATTGACCATTAAGCCCAAAATCAAAGCAAGAGTGGTGTGCTGGATGACATTAGTTGACTCTGAATAATTCATATGCTCCACTGGAAAAACAACATATACTCCTTCCATCATGGAGATAAATCTGTGATGGGGAATTGAATACTTAGGTCAGCTGGTGAGGTCACTCTCCTCTTTGGAAAGGTCTTGAGAGACACTGAAAAATTGTCCCTCTTTGGATTTAACCCTTCCTAAATTCCTTGCAAACAGAGATCTTTTCCGTTTACACATAATCTCTTTTCATGAAGTATAATGCAATTGATTGGGGCACAGCTATTGATACACATATCTTTCTGAGACTATACTCTGGGCCCCTTTATTTAAATTTGGATATAAATTATTTGGTCATTCATTTATTAAGTGTTGCTTTGGGTATATTATTGTCAATATTTTAAAAATGTTCACATTTAGAAACATTACCTTAAGTTTTGGAAGATTCATGTTTTTAGTCAATAGGTGTGTTTTTCTTTTGTTTTGTTTTGTTTTTGAGTGTCTGTCAAGGGCTAAACCCTCTTGTAGGTGCCAGTGATGCTGGAGTGACGAAGAGAGAAGGTCTCATTTCATATGGTATTCTTGCTGCTGTTTATCCCATGAACTAATTACATTAATGGGTCCACAAACCGCATACCCCATACCGAGCTAACCTACTTTATAATATTATCAAAATAAGGTGCTTAGAGGCAAGGAAACTTGGCTTAATGGGACACATCTAGCCACCCTAAGGAAAAACAGATGAAGACAATGTCGATTCAATTAAAATAACTGGTGAACATGCCAACACAAAAATCTACAAAGTTGTAATGGATTCTAGTTGTCTAATGCTCTGAAGATTAATGTTGAAACCATTTGCAGTACTGCAGCCACTAAAAGCCAAAAAAAAAAAAAATGGAGATACAGTGCCTCAAACGTTGGTCCTTTCACTTTAAGAAACTTCTTCGACCCAATCAACAAGCAAGATCCAGTCGGGGCCTGGATGGATATTTATGATTTCAAATACACCATAGGAGATTTGGCTCTGAAATGTGACTGATTGGAACAATCTCCAACTAGGGAGTCTGAGGCTCTGAGGCATATGTGCATTAAAAAGGAAAAGGAAGAAGTAGAAGTGGAAAAGTAGAAGATACAAATCAAAATGCACATTGCTTATTCTAACTGTTCTGGGTGTTGCCTTTCTGAAAGTAAATAAATTCTGCAAAATTTACAGCTTAGCCTATGAGTACATTGGCTAGACTTCTAACTTCCCTTGACCTCAGGTAGTACTTTAAAAAAAAAAAAAAACTTAACCATATCCAGACTAAACAAAATGGGTGCCAGATCTCAAAGACAAGGCTCATAGCCAATAGTGAGGAATTCAGAATGCTTTTTTTCTATTTTTCTATTTCTGAATTCATTCATTCTTCCAATATTTGTTGAAAACCTACTGCAAGCCAGGCAAAATGATAGGCATCTGGGATACACATGGTGCCTACCTTCGTGAAGTTTACAATCTAGTGAGAGGGACAGGTAATAAAGAAACCAATGACACACACAAAAAAAGAAAGGCAAGACCAAGAGGAAAAAAGAGTCTAAGAAGAAGTAGAACTTTAGCCTTTTATGCTCTTGTATAAATTCAGATGAACCATGTATGTGCCTGTTGTGGTGTCTGAGATACCACCATTAGAGATTCATTTGAGGGGTCTCAGAAAATCTGTCAGTGTTTCCAATCGCTTCAGTAAAATGGAAATACCCCTGGGGGAAGGTATTCTTCAAATACTCAGTTTCTTCAAAGAACTCAGGTTCCTTGTTATCTTTCTACTATTCCATCTGGGTAAGGCCAATCCTCCTGGCAAATAGAAATCACAGAGAGAATCAGCTACTCAAGTTTCTGCATTCCCAAAATAGATTCTACAAATCAACAAGACAATGAGCCTCTGGTATGTCCTAATTCAAGGTTATTTCCAGGTAATAATATGTAACCACACGATTTATAAGGTACATTAAATTTGACCAAGGTCAGTGAGAGAAACAACTGGTTAGCACCATACCTTTAAGATCTCAAGAGTGTGAGGTCAATTTGACTCATTCATATGTAACCAAACTGCATTTCCCTAATGACCTCCTCTTTTGTCTATGACATATTTCTTACCAGACCTTCACTCTCTCACACTTCTTACCAGAACTTCCCCCCAGATGAAGTTAGCTCAGTCAAATTTGTCACCATGCCTAATTACTATTGACTTCATGTGCATATACTTTTCAACTTTATGGCCATAATCATAAGGGGAGTCTTATCATCAGAGTATTCAGGAATGGTTCCTGATCAGTTCAGCCCTTACTGAAACTTTCACTCTGTTTGACCCAAATCCCACTGCATTATTGTCTTCTCTCATGATTTTGTTCAAAAGAATGTAAAGTATCCCACAGATCTCCTGGATCCTTCTCAGTTTTATTTGTTTTTCCATAAGTTCTCATTAACTTGCATACTTTTCTAAATTTACTAGCTAAACTCCTTTTATTTCTATAAACAAATGTAATACGTTTTCCTCCTTTAGCAAGATAGATTTCTCTTTTGATTCACATGACCCATTCAACAGTTTATTCTTTCTACATTTATTTCTTCCTCAAAATCAGGCTTATTTTAGTTATCTTTATAGCCATCTCAGTATAATCTAACATTGAGGTGGTAAAAAGTAGGTACCCATTGAATGTTATTGACAAAATGTATCAACTGATACCTTATTATAGTTGATAGATCTTTGGGAGTAAGACTTTCTAAGGAAAAGACATAGAGTGGGAAAATATATGGGGTGGGAGATGTAAAACTGGGAGATGGGGTTATAACAATGACTAACTGTTCATTTCCATGATTCTGCTTTGGGTAGGTCCTTTCTTCCAAGGGAACATTTGGTACTGGTTTAAGAAATTTTGTTTTTGGCCGGGCACGGTGGCTCACGCCTGTAATCTCAGCACTTTAGGAGGCCGAGATGGGCAGATCACGAGGTCAGGAGATCGAGACCATCCTGGCTAACATGGTGAAACCCCGTCTCTACTAAAAATACAAAAAAAAATAGCCGGGCATGGTGGCAGGCGCCTGTAGTCCCAGCTACTCAGGAGGCTGAGGCAGGAGAATGGCGTGAAGCCGGGAGGCGGAGCTTGCAGTGAGCCGAGATAGCGCCATTGCACTTTAGCCTGGGCGACAGAGCGAGACTCCGTCTCAAAAAAAAAAAAAAAAAATTGTTTTTGTCTCCACAGAGGAACATAAACTGTCTCCCTATCAGGAATTAAAAATGACTTAATCCAATATATTTTTATATATTTTTTTTAACCTAGCTTTCTGGAATCGTAACCCTAAATTAAAGTAAATAAAAAGACATACATAAAGTATCTAACACAATGCTGGCCCAAAAAAGATGCTTGGTAAATATTCATTTCCTTCCAAATGGGGGTCAAGTTGTAGTAACTGACTAATCTCAGGGGCCTAGGTAACATCTCTTCTGTTTTCTTTAGACCATTGCTTCTCAAGGTGTGGTGCTTGGACCAGTAGCATCAAAATCAAGTGAGAGCTTGTAAGAAATCAGAATCCCATTCCTCATCCCAAACATACTGAAATAGATACTTTGGGGGTGGGCTTACAATTTGTGTTTTAACATGTTCTTTAGATTATTCAGGTTGGATGCTCACGTTTGAGAAGCATTACTATAGACAGTTCTGCTGTTTCTCCTTTAAATGTTTTACTTTGTTTTATGTTTTAACCTATAAGCTACCTTAAATTGCTTGGCAAAATGCCAGGATATAAACCTACCTAAAATGTATATTAAATGAACTGAATAGCTTGCCAAAAGAAGATCTAAACTGGAATAGAACTCCTTCCTACAAATCTCTCCAGTACCCAAATTCCTATTAACTAAGTTCTGCTTTAGAAAAGTTAGGCCCTTTGTTTACCATTTCATATTGTCCTACTGTTCATGCTGTTAACTGAAAAAAGGCTGCACTGAAACTCAAGTTGTGAGTCAGGCATGAGTTTTAATTAAGCTGTGCTGCCTAATGCTGTTCCATTCCATGAAATTCTACTTCCAAAGTTTATTCTCTCCCAATTTTCTAATTCTTCCACATTAAAACTTTCCTTTGGGTCCACCAAATAATAAATAGCATGCCTAACTGCTTGAGTTGTCTTGATTAAGTATCTGATTATAGCTGCTATCTACATACAAATGGCTCTTGGCTATTAGACTTCTGAGTGTTGCATAGAAGTCTGTTTTCTGCACACACACACATTCCAGCCACCTGAAATAAGAACCCAAATTTCTCAGGCACTGGTGGCTCCAGGTGGAATGGTCCTTAAGTTGGTAATCTCCCTTGAAATGCTTTGGCCCATCAGGGACGTTATGTCCTTATAAGGCCTGTTGAAAATCTGCTAACAAATTAGTGGTCTTAAAGGTTAAACGACAGTTTGACAAACATACGTTTAAAAGGGAAGGCGCATGCCAGACGAGTGCCCTCCTGACACTCTGCCTGCTGGGGGTTAGTTAAAGCAGCATCGAATTGCAGGCTTTGGGGCCAGTTTAAGTAACAGAAAAGAAAACAGTGTAACATGTGGCAGACACAGGCCTGCAGAGAGGAAAACAGCTAATAAAATGGCTACGTAAAGCAAGTAAAAATTTCTTCCCTACTCAGATCTCAATACTGTTACAATAATAAACAATTATAATATCCCCTTTGCTTGCTGCACAACTAGGAATCAGACAAAACAAATGGATGGGCTGGAGAAAACCATTGCAGGCAATGTAATTCCCAACATCTAGTTAAGTTCTGATGTTTTCAAGCAGCAAGATAAGGCATGGTGAAAGAAGCATGAACTGGAAATCAGGACAGTTGGGTTTTACTCCAGGCTCTACCACATTTAGGCTATGTGACAGTGAGCTTCAGCTTTCTTTGAAATTTCCTCACAGAAATATATGTTACTATCATATCCTTGACTTTTACTCAGAATTGATATGACAAATGACCATATGAAAAAAATATTTGTGTGTTTAGTAAAGCCTCCATTAAAAAGACACCCATACACATATAACTCCAACACTTACTAAATAATTAATATGGGGAAGACACTGTGGTTAGAAGTTTACCTATATTATCTTATGTAATCTTCAGAAAATATCCTGTAAGAGAGATACTATTATCCTGATTATTACAAACCAAAAAACTGAGGCTTAAAATGGCCCAAAGTATATGCTATTGCTAGAATTTTAGTCTGGTTGTGCTAACACCAAATTCCATGTTTTATTCACTGTGTCTTGTGGGGTACAGATGTTCTGTCTATAAAAATTAACAAGATTTATTCATTTGAGTTTTACATTACAAAGAAGTCTGCTTTTTGGCTCATTCTATGTATTTTTATCAGATAATATGAACTATGTAACACAATATATTTAACTTTTGCTTTGTCTCCTTAGGAATTGAAAGCTGCATTTGGGCTCAGTTTTGGCAACCACCTTTTTGGTCTGTTCCTGATTACCATATTTCCTCCTCTTCTCCACTTCATAGCTCTTGCTCTTTTCTAATTGTCCTATTTTTTTTATTTTTACATCTTTATTTTTTATTTATATAAATTTGAGGAGTACAAGTGCAATTTTGTTACATGCACAGTGGTCAACTCAAGGTTTTTAGGGTATCCATCACTCAAATGACCTACATTATATTCATTAAAAATTCCATCTTTACATTTAAAATTTGGTAAGTTCATCAAGGTATGTCTTTATATGGATTATATTTTATTAGTTTTTCCCTAGATATGGTTTGTTCATTTAAACTACAGATTTCAAGTTCTGTTTTAGGAAATTTTTTTCTTACTCAAGCTTTTAAATTTAATTTTTGCTTTTATTAGAGTAATACAACTATCAAACAGAACTATAAAAATCAGTACTTTTCTTACAAAAAATAGCCATCCCTTTCTTATCCCTCCCTAGGTCCTCAGAGATAATCTCCTTCAACAGTTGAAGGTATTTTTTCTGGCATGCAACTCCATATTTTAAAAAATGTGCTTATACTTAATACATGTTAGACTTTATTGATGATGTCTTATTAACTGATACAACCCTGCTATGATTTCACCTTCCTCCATCTTCCAAATATAGTTATAATACAATTATTTATTGGCTTAATAGTCATGTAAATGCTATTCACAGCTGAACTGAGGAGTGTACAATGATTGCATTTCTTTGTATGCACCTTTTTTCTTCTTGTTGTTCATATTTGGCTCATTATTTTCCTGGGATTGAAAGTGGCCTCCTTTTTCCACGTGCTTAATTTCCTTTGCATCTATTGTTATTTTTCCCTCATCTTCCAATAGCATCCCAGTATACTTTTTCTCAGAATCAACACTATCAGATTATGAATTTCTGCTTTTTAAAATGTGTTTTGATATTTGTTTTCTGAGTGTACTTGCATTTAGATCCCTCCATTTTCCTAGTCCAATCTGGACTATTTGCTCTCTAGGCTTACTGAACAATTTTAATTATAGAGATTTCTTTATCTTTCTCCTTATACCCTCCATTTTACATTTTCTTCTGCCTTAGTTTATTTTGTCATTTTCCATGAGCACACCCTCCACAAGCTTTCTGAGAGATGGTGCATGGGAGGTAAATGTTGTTTCAATGCATAATTGAATCCTCCTTTATTATACTTTTTCTCTTAGTTTGGCTGACTATAAATTTTTAGATTGAAAAATAATATTCCTGAGAATTTTGAATGCCTTCCCTCTCTCCTTTCCTTCCTGGACTCAAATTACCTCATATGTTAGACATTTGATATTACCTAAAGTCCATGAGACTCTATTTATTTTTTTCTCTATAATTTTTCCTATATATTTTTATGATTGGGTAATTTCTATTGAACTATCTTCAATTTTACCAACTTTTTATTTTGTGATCTCCATTCTGCTTCATTCTGCTTGACTTCTGTTTGATTGCATTTTCCCCCAAAAAATGGGTGAAATTTTCCTTACTCTTTATCAGGTTATCTTTCATTAAATTCAAATATTATATTTTTCAGTTATAAAATTTCTATAGTTAATTTTTATATTATTTATTTTTCTGCTGAGCTTTCTTGTTTTTTGATTCGTTGTGAGCAAATTTCCATTTACCTTATTGAGCATTATAATGATAGAAGCACTTCTTAAAAATTATTGAGAAATTTAGAAACACCTTTGTTTATATAAATCACACATATCAAAATTTATCATATTGCAAGTTAACACTGATTTTTAAATGTAAGAATATTTATGATGGTATTAGAGCAATGGTGTCATCACACATTGTAGAACCTCTGGGAAATTTCCATGTACTCTTGTGAGACAATATTTTTATGAAAAATATTTTGAATTTGTAGATTCACTAAAAGGATCCCAGTTAATGCTTTGAAAACTACTGCTATAATGATTACTTACTTTGAAGTTTTTGACTGTTGATTCTAACATCTGGGTTGGCCTCTGTTTGATTGCATTTTCCCTTAGGAATGGGTGATGTTTTCCTGATCCCTCAAATGTCAAGCAATTTTGGTTTGTATTTAAGACATGAACAATGTTATGTTGTGGAGACTTTGTATTCTGTCATATCCATATGAAGAGTGTTGATGATTTTGTTTTGGCAGGCAATTAACTTGATTACATTCCAACTGTAAACTTTGTTTTGCCTGCAGTAGACAACAGCTCCATTCTCTGCTCAGTTCTTTAATTCTTGGGTTGAAAGTTATTTAAAATCTGCCTGGTGTGTTGTGTGTGTGTGTGTGTGTGTGTGTGTGTGTGTGTGTGTGTGTCTGTGTATTTCTCTGTGTTTTTTTCTTTCAGGTTTTCCCCTTAACTCCCCAGTGGCCATGATTTCTTCAAGACTGATTTCCTGCTTAATTTGGCAGGAAAAATTTCAGGCTTGCTATCAGAGTTTCAGCTGTGCTGTGACTAAAACCAGCTTATGCAAAAACTACAAAAATGGGAGACTCACTGGTCTGTCACTTCAACCAAATTTTGAATCCTTTCTTCAATTTGCCTGCTTTTTATTCATTCTCCAGAGCTCTTAAATAGATATTTTGTCTATATTTCCCAGAGTTTATATTTGTATCTGCAGCAGAGTCAGTGTATTATTGACTTATGCCTCCAAACTATAAGTGAAATTTGCATGTACTTAAAGCCTTCCCAGAACGCTCATTTCAGATGGAATTTATGATCCTTTCTCCCCTATGAGTTATATCTGTAGATGTATTATACCGTATATTTGTTTAATTTATCACATTAAATTTTAATTATTTTTTGACATTTCTATCTCCCCAACAATACTGGGACAAGGTCTTAGCTTTTCTGTTTCCATAATCACAATAGGTTCTCAATGAATGAACTGGACAAATTAAGTAAATGAGCATTTCAGACAAAAGCAATGGAATATGTATAGATCCTGTGGAGGATGGGAGCATCACACATTAAAGGATCTGAAAGAAGCACCTTGTGGCTAAATCACAGAAAGTAAATGAGAGTGTACTATGAGATGAGAACGAAAAGATAATACGACCAGACCTTGCAGGGAATTATAGGACATGTTAAGAATTTTGTTTTTGTCTAAAGAGCAGTCAGAAGTATTTTAAGCCAGGTAAAGTGGGGCAGTGGCAGATCAGACTTCTTTTTAAAATCAAATATCTTCTAGCTTTATATAGCGATTGCAGATTGAATAGCTAGCAGACCAGAATGGATGGAGGTGTACCAGCCAGGAGACTACTGTGGAAATCCGGGGAAGAGATGATACTTCAGAATGGGGTGGAGTTAGAATAAAGTGGATAATTTCAGGAGGTATTTAGTGTATACTAGCTCCAAAATCTAGAATGGATTACTAGTATCTGGGAAGAACTTGTATATAATTAAATATAAATTGAAGTAGATTGAAAAGCAGAGTTGATAACCTACCAGTATTATACAGGAGAACCTTTTCTAAATATGAGTAAGTAGAAAGATTCATTGTTTTTCCACATTATCTAACTCTGATTCAGAAGTAGAAATTTGGTACCCACCAGAAAACCAGGAAACTGTCACTCTATTGCATAAATGCCACATACTGAGGCAGCTAGAGGGCATTTTTTTTCTATTCCCTGCGTCCATATCGATACATCCCTGTATCAAGTCAAAAATTGTGTTTCTTAGAAAATAACAATATATAGCTCTGTGAACATGTAACAAAGTATGGTAGTGTGGCTGAAAAAGAAAAAAAATTACGGTAGCAGTGCATACTGGGAACTGAAATATTTTACGTTCTCCCTCTGTTTTGAATGTGAGAAAATCAGGAATGTTGAGTAGGATATATCCTTTAAGTTTAGGAGAATTGTAATAGAGGAATTCCTGATATTGATCTTAGAACTATATCCAGATATATGCATTTCATTCTGTTGTTGAGCTATGCATCTTAGAAGGGGATTTGATCAACACCAAGTAGACAAATTTAAATAAGGTACATTCTAATCACTCTTTCTGTCGATAAACACAGGGACAAGAAAAAACAAAACAAATAAACAAATTTTAAAAACGCTCCAGGAGAAAGTTAAGGTAAGATGAACTTGAAGATTAAAAAAAAAAAGATACCAATGTATTTTTTTCATATGAAGTAAGACCAAGAAGTTATACAGAATAAATGAACAGATAAAAACCACAATAACATTGAACAAAAACAGAGATGAATGAACTATATTCCAAGACAGAGAACTAGATTACAAAGGAGGAATTACAAGAAAACTAAAAACGCATTTGACAAAATTAAAAAATCTAACCTAGAGTCAGTAAAAAGTACTGCAATAGAAGAACAAAGTTGAGACATTCTCTGAGTAAATATTAAGAGAATAAAGAGAATAAAGATATGAAACAAGATGACAGAGAACATGAGATATGAAAGACAATAAATTAAACTGCAATCTAATTACTATTTTAGAAAAATATTGAATAATTTGCACAAAAACAATAATCAAACATATAATTGAGGGAACATTAGGTGAATTTAAAGCCTCAGTATTTGGATGAAAAAAAAGCTTACCATGTTTCAAGATAAATCAGAAAAAAAACCTACATGTAGAAAAATCTTGGCAAAAATTTTGAAATACCAGGATAAAGACAAAACTATAGAAACAACCAGATAGAAAATAGCTACCTAAAAAAAATTGTCTGTTCTTAAAATTCTACTCTTTTACATCAAACATTAAAGGATAATGAAAGGATAATGAAGCAAACTATTCAGTTCTGAGGGAAAGAAGTTGAAAACCAGTAATTTTATTCCCACCCATCTTACTTGAATATACACAGGTAATAGGAAATAGAAAGACTTTCTCTAATATTCTGGAACTTAGAAAACAGATAATTTATTTGTTCTTACTTGAAAATTGCTTGCACATGTATTCCAAGCAAATTAATTGAAATTAAGAACACATAAATAGGGAAGTCACTTATAAAGAAATTTGAGAATGATCATTGAAACCATATAATCATAGATCTGTATTTTCAAAAATTCAAATTGAATTAAAAGACTGAATTTGAATATAAAGTGAATTATATTTAGAGGAGAAGACTCAGAAGGTACTAGTTTCTTCTTGACTTTCCTAAATAGAGAACATAAAATAATCTTTTTGATAACTTTAATTGAAAATCTCTGGAAGATTTTTTTCCTAATAAAAATGTACATTTTTCAAAATATGGGAGAGGAGGCAAATAAACCTAGATAATAAAGCAAGAAAAAAACAAGTAAAAAAGGAATTGCTAAACAAAAATAAATCTTGTGACCCTAAACTCACTGAGCCAACGGGAAAAGTAAAGCTGGGAACTAGGTCATGCAAACCTGCCTCCCATTTTGGTTCCTAAATAAGATGCCTACAAAGATGAAAAGCTATGTACCTCCCTCACATTTTTCCCACAAGGAAATTTCTCGTGGGCTCCAAGATCTTTACCCAAAAACGATGCTGTTAACGTTTACCATGGCAATGTAAACTTATAGCTTATCCTCACAGGTGTGGGGAAATAGGACAGAATTCAAAGTCATCCTCTATCCACTTGGGACAAATGCATATCTGATTGTTTCCTCTGCCCTATCGTCTACTTTATCTTATGTAAAAATGCAGATTTGCTGAGCCAAAGGCAAGAACATTTTCCCCTACCCCTCTCTCACATGAAAATTGTGTATTTCTCAGTATCTCACCCTTTCATCTTTAAATATTGAAGCCATCAAAATCATCTTAGTAGAAAGGCATAGATTTGTCTCTCAGGAGTGCATCCTTAACTTTGGCAAATTAGTCTCTTAAAACAATTGCTACCAGCCTCAGTCATTTTCCTTGATTGACAGAATATAAAGGGGAAGAGCATGCAGCTAAAAAGAACTCAACAATAAATGTACACAGAATTATTACATCTCATGCAAGACAATAAATACAAAGAATTTTAACCTACCTATTGAAATAAAAATACTTTTAGATTAGGTTAAAAATCAGAGTTCAACTCCAAAATGCTTATAAAATACACAATTAAAACTAAATGATACAAGAAGATTAATCACTGAGCAATGCAAGAATATCTAGTGGGCAACCCAAACAAAAACAAAGTTAGAATAGCAAAATTAACTTCAGACAAGTAGAATTTAAGTTAAAAGTATTATAATAAAAAGGCTTAGTTTGTTTTTATCCAAAGTGTAATCTAATATGAAGGTATAATGGTTATCACCCTTTCTTTTCAGAATAACAAAGCAACAAAATGTGTATGGGAGAAAACTGTTAGAGAGGAAGGGAAATCTGAAAATAGCATAATTGAGGTTATTCATCTACTCATTCTTAGAATGACCAAAATAGCCAAAAAATAGAGACAGAAAAATTTTATTATATAGTTTGAAAGTTTGATTAATAGTTATATAAATTGGATTTTCTATTCTAGAAATAGAGAATACTGCTTTTTTTAGTATCCATTGAACATTTATGCAACTTTTCTTTTCTTCTTCTTTTTTTTTTTTTTTTTGAGATGGAGTTTTGCTCTTGTTGCCCAGGCTGGAGTGCAATGGTGTGATCTTGGCTCACTGCAACCTCCACCCCCTAGGTTCAAGTGATTCTCTTGCCTCAGCCTCCCAATTAGGTAGGATTACAGGCGCCTGCCACCATGCCTGGCTAATTTTTTGTACTTTTAGTAGAGATCAGTTTCACCATGTTGGCCAGGGTGGTCTCAAACTCCAGGCCTCAGGTGATCCACCCACCTCGGCCTCCCAAAGTGCTGGGATTATAGGCATGAACCACCACACACAGTCAGAAACTTATCATTTTTTTCTTTTTTTTTTTTTTTTTTGAGATGGAGTGTTGCTCTTGTTGCCCATGCTGGAGTGCAGTGGCGTGATCTTGGCTCACTGTAACCTCTGCCTCTGGGGTTCAAGCAATTCTCTTGCCTCAGCCTCCCAACTAGCTGGGATTACAGGCATGCACCACCATGCCCAGCTAATTTTGCATTTTTAGTAGAGACAGGGTTTCTCCATGTTGGTCAGGCTGGTCTCGAATTCCCGACTTCAGGTGATCCAACAGCCTTGGCCTGCCAAAGTTCTGGGATTACAGGCATGTGACACCATGCCCAGCTGCAACTTATCATTTCTTAAGGACAAAGAAAATTCAACACAGCGCAAGAAAGTAGAAATTGTATAGGCCATACTCTTTGACAAAGATAAAAAAAACAATAAAGTTTAGAAAAGGAAAGAAACATTTCACTGACACTAAAATGAAAGAAAAACTCATAAACCATTCCTGGGGCTAGGAACTCTAAAGTAAAATAAAATGCAAATAAAATCAGGATGCAACATAGCTGACAGTATCTCTTCATCCTGGCTACACAAAATAATCTCAGGTGAAGTTTCTGCGTGTTAGCTTATTGGCTTTGCTTTCATTGGAAAAGATGCTGGAGCTTCCCTCACAGGAGATTTTATTTAGTAGGTTTCAGGTTTTGCTTTCTAGTCCCTAATTTCTAAAAACAAACAAACAAACAAAAAATCTCATGAGTATTTCTGACATGAAGTTAGTAGTGTTACAGTCTCGCCAATGCACCACAATGTAGCAGCCTCTGTTTGAGGTATCACCCAGAGTTATTTGTTTCACAACCAAGAAAATTAAGAAGCATGGACACAAGGGTGAGGTTGGAGCAAAAGTTTAATAAGCAAAAGAAGAAAGCACTCTGTAGTGGAGAGGGGGCCCCAAAGAGGATTGCCAATTATGATGCTGAGTCTGGGGTTTTTATGGACTGGGAAGGAGAGGAATGTGCTGACTGGTCTGCAGGCTCTTTTGGAGAAAGCACCACTTAGAAAGAAGTATGATAATTTAAAGAATCAACTGGAGGCAGAGGTGAAGGCTTGGCCCAGGACCTTGGCCTGGGACCAATTAGGGGTTAAAGTGATGATTCACCCTATGTAAAGGAAGAATTAGCCTGCAGCCAATTACAGAAAGGTAAGCATATGTAATAGAGATGAAAAGTAAGAGACAAATAGGTGAAAAGTAAGAGACTAAGGCATGCTGAAGAGAGAGAAATGTGTCCTAAAAGTGAGTAGAATTTGTTTATCTTGGTTCACAGAGTAAGCATTTACATCCAAGAACACAGGCTCTTATCTGAGGCCTGTAGTTTGATTTTTCAGAGTGTTCTTTGAAGCAGTTTTACCAAGGACCTGCCCTAACTGCCTGCATGAATGATTTCTTATTTTCTCCTCTCTCAGTAGGCTATCAAAGTTGTAGTCTGAGACAAATTCAGAACCTTCAATATTTTTATTAAATTAGGTAAAGAAATGAGAAGAATAAAGAAAGAAAGATCCAGTTTCATTCTCCTACATGTGGCTAGCCAATTATCCTAGCACCATTTGTTGGAAAGGGTGTCCTTTCCCTACTTTATGTTTTTGTTTGCTTGGTTGAAGACCAGTTGGCTGTAAGTATTTGGGTTTACTTCTGGGTTCTCTATTCTGTTCCATTGGTCTAAGTGCCTATTTTTATACCAGTACCATGCTGTTTTGGTGACAATGGCCTTATAGTATAGTTTGAAATCAGGTAATGTCATGCCTCCAGATTTGTTCTTTTTGCTTAGTCTTGCTTTGGTTATGTTTTGGTTCCATATGAATTTTAGAATTGTTTTCTCTATTTCTGTGAAGAATTATGGTGGTATTTTGATGGGGATTGCACTGAATTTGTAGATTGCTTTTGGCAGTATGATAATTTTCACAATATTTATTCCAAGCATCCATGAGCATGGAATGTGTTTCCATTTGTTTGTGTCATCTATGATTTCTTTCAGCAGTGTTTTGTAGTTTTCCTTGTGGAGGTCTTTCGATTCCTTTGTTAGGTATATTCCTAAGTATCTTTTTTTTTTTTGCAGCTATTGTAAAAGGGGTTGAGTTCTTGATTTGATTCTCTGCTGTGTTGCTGTTGTAGTATAGAAGAGCTACTGATTTGCATACATTAATCTTGTATCTGGAAACTTTGCCAAATTATTTTATCAGTTCTAGGAACTTTCTGGAGGAGTCCTTAGGGTTTTCAAGGTAAACAATCACATTGTCAGCAAACAGTGAGTTTGACTTCCTCTTTACCAATTTGGATGCCCTTTATTTCTTTCTCTTGGCTGATTGCTCTGGCTAGGACTTCCAGTACTATGTTGAAGAGGAGTGGTGAAAATTGTCAACCTTGTCTTGTTCCTGTTTTCAGAGGGAATGCTTTCAACTTTTTCCCATGCAGTATTATGTTGGCTGTGGGTTTGTCAAAGATGGCTTTTATTGTATTGAGGTATGTCCCTTGTATGCCAATTTTGCTGTATTGGGAGGGGGCAAGGGATAAAAGACTGCAAATATGGTACAATGTATACTGCTCGGGTGATGGGTGCACCAAATCTCACAAATCACCACTAAAGAACTTACTCATGTAATCAAATGCCACCTATACCCCAGTAAACTATGGAAAAATAAAATAAAAATAAAAAGGAATAAATAAAATATGTATATGTACATGATGGAATACTATTCAGCCATAAAAGGATGAAATCCTCTTATTCATAACAACATGGACATTATTCTAAGTAAAATAACCCATACATAAAAAATAAATACTGCATAAATCTCATGTGTGGAATCTAAAAAAGTGATCCCATAGAAGTTAAGGGTAAAATAGTAGTTATATGAAGGCTGGTGATGGGAGGAGGAGTGGAAGGATAAACTAGAAGTTAGGTCAATGGGTACAAAGTTATAGTTAGACAGCGATAACATGTTCTGGTGTTATATTACACAATTGGTTTACTATAACTAATAACAAAAAAATCTATGAAATGTCTAAAAGCAATATTATTCAATAATATACTTTAATAAGAAAATTCTTAGTAAAACAAGAGAATGCAGATAAGAAATACAAAAAAAATAGGAAAACAATTTGTTATCTGAATGAGAAATTCAATGAGATAGATATCATAAAAAAGAATCAAACAGAAATCTTGGAATTGAATTCAGTTAATAAAATAAAAAATATAATCTAGACCTTCAGTAGACTACATTAAGCAAAAAAAAATATGAACATCAATAAAGCCATTTTGAATGACTCAGTCAGACTTGAAAGAGAAAGAAAATAGAATGAAAAGAATGAAAAAAGCCTATGTGATATATGGAAGACTATTGAGCAACCAAATTTTTGAATTTTGGGTGTTCGTTTGCCTATCAAAACAAAATTGTCAAAACAATTTTGGATACAACAGAACCCAAAGTCTCCATGACATAACATTGTTCATGTTTTAAATACAAACCAAAATTACTTGATGTATAAGGAATTCAGAAAATGTCACCCATTCCTAAAGGAAAATGCAATCAAACAGAGGTCAACCTGGATGTTAGAATTAATAGTAAAAAGTTTCAAAGTAAGTAACCATTATAACAGTAGTTTTCTTTTTTTTCTCTTTTTTTATTTTATTATTATTATACTTTAAGTTTTAGGGTACATATGCACAATGTGCAGGTTAGTTACATATGTATACATGTGCCATGCTGGTGTGCTGCACCCATTAACTCGTCATTTAGCATTAGGTATATCTCCTAGAGCTGTCCCTCCCGCCTCCCCGCACCCCACAACAGTCCCCAGAGTGTGATGTTCCCCTTCCTGTGTCCATGTGTTCTCATTGTTCAATTCCCACCTATGAGTGAGAATATGTGATGTTTGGTTTTTTGTTCTTGTGATAGTTTACTGAGAATGATGATTTCCAATTTCATCCATGTCCCTACAAAGGACATGAACTCATCATTTTTTATGGCTGCATAGTATTCCATGGTGTATAAGTGCCACATTTTCTTACTCCAGTCTATCATTGTTGGACATTTGGGTTGGTTCCAAGTCTTTGCTATTGTGAATAGTGCCGCAATAAACATACGTGTGCATGTGACTTTATAGCAGCATGATTTATAGTCCTTTGGATATACACCCAGTAATGGGATGGCTGAGTCAAATGGTATTTCTACATCTAGATCCCTGAGGAATTGCCACACTAACTTCCACAAGGGTTGAACTAGTTTACAGTCCCACCAACAGTGTAAAAGTGTTCCTATTTCTCCACATCCTGTCCAGCACCTGTTGTTTCCTGACTTTTTAATGATTGCCATTCTAACTGATGTGACATGGTATCTCATTGTGGTTTTGATTTGCATTTCTCTGATGGCCAGTGATGGTGAGCATTTTTTCATGTGGTTTTTGGCTGCATAAATATCTTCTTTTGAGAAGTGTCTGTTCATGTCCTTCACTCACTTTTTGATAGCGTTGTTTGTTTTGTTCTTGTAAATTTGTTTGAGTTCATTGTAGATTCTGGATATTAGCCCTTTGTCATATGAGTAGGTTGTGAAAATTTTCTCCCATTTTGTAGGTTGCCTGTTCACTCTGATGGTAGTTTCTTTGCTGTGCAGAAGCTCTTTAGTTTAATTAGATCCCATTTGTCAATTTTGGCTTTTGTTGCCATTGCTTTTGGTGTTTTAGACATGAAGTCCTTGCCCACGCCTATGTCCTGAATGGTAATGCCTAGGTTTTCTTCAAGGGTTTTTATGATTTTAGGTCTAACGTTTAAATCTTTAATCCATCTTGAATTAATTTTTGTATAAGGTGTAAGGAAGGGATCCAGTTTCAGCTTTCTACATATGGCTAGTCAGTTTTCCCAGCACCATTTATTAAATAGGGAATCCTTTCCCCATTGCTTGTTTTTCTCAGGTTTGTCAAAGATCAGATGGTTGTAGATATGCGGCATTATTTCTGAGGGCTCTGTTCTGTTCCATTGATCTATATCTCTGTGTTGGTACAAGTACCATGCCGTTTTGGTTACTGTAGCCTTGTACTATAGTTTGAAGTCAGGTATTGTGATGCCTCTGGCTTTGTTCTTTTGGCTTAGGATTGACTTGGCGATGCGGGCTCTTTTTTGGTTCCGTATGAACTTTAAAGTAGTTTTTTCCAATTCTGTGAAGAAAGTCATTGGTAGCTTGATGGGGATGGCATTGAATCTATAAATTACCTTGGGCAGTATGGCCATTTTCACGATATAGATTCTTCCTACCCATGAGCATGAATGTTCTTCCAGTTGTTTGTATCCTCTTTTATTTCATTGAGCAGTGGTTTGTAGTTCTCCTTGAAAAGGTCCTTCACGTCCCTTGTCAGTTGGATTCCTAGGTATTTTATTGTCTTTAAAGCAATTGTGAATGGGAGTTCACTCATGATTTGGCTCTCTGTTTGTCTGTTATTGGTGTATAAGAATGCTTGTGATTTTTGTACATTGATTTTGTATCCTGAGACTTTGCTGAAGTTGCTTATCAGCTTAAGGAGATTTTGGGCTGAGACGATGGGGTTTTCTAGATATACAATCATGTCATCTGCAAAAAGGGACAATTTGACTTCCTCTTTTCCTAATTGAATACCCTTTATTTCCTTCTCCTGCCTAATTGCCATGGCCAGAACTTCCAACACTATGTTGAATAGTAGTGGTGAGAGAGGGCATCCCTGTCTTGTGCCAGTTTTCAAAGGGAATACTTCCAGTTTTTGCCCATTCAGTATGATATTGGCTGTGGGTTTGTCATAGATAGCTCTTATTATTTTGAGATACGTTCCATCAATACTTAATTCATTGAGAGTTTTTAGCATGAAGGGTTGTTGAATTTTGTCAAAGGCCTTTTCTGCATCTATTGAGATAATCATGTGGTTTTTGTCTTTGGTTCTGTTTATATGCTGGATTACATTTATTGATTTGCATATATTGAACCAGCCTTGCATCCCAGCAATGAAGCCCACTTGATCATGGTGGATAAGCTTTTTGATGTGCTGCTGGATTCGGTTTGCCAGTATTTTATTGAGGATTTTTGCATCAATGTTCATCAAGGAGATTGGTCTAAAATTCTCTTTTTTGGTTGTGTCTCTGCCCGGCTTTGGTATCAGGATGATGCTGGCCTCATAAAATGAGTTAGGGAGGATTCCCTCTTTTTCTATTGATTGGAATAGTTTCAGAAGGAATGGTACCAGTTCCTCCTTCTACCTCTGGTAGAATTCGGCTGTGAATCCATCTGGTCCTGGACTCTTTTTGGTTGGTAAGCTATTGATTAGTGCCACAATTTCAGATCCTGTTATTGGTCTATTCAGAGATTCAACTTCTTCCTGGTTTAGTCTTGGGAGGGTGTATGTGTCGAGGAATTTATCCATTTTTTCTAGATTTTCTAGTTTATTTGTGTAGAGGTGTTTGTAGTATTCTCTGATTGTAGTTTGTATTTCTGTGGGATAGGTGGTGATATCCCCTTTATCATTTTTTATTGAGTCTAATTGATTCTTCTCTCTTTTCTTCTTTATGAGTCTTGCTAGCGGTCTATCAATTTTGTTGATCTTTTTAAAAAACCAGCTCCTGGATTCATTAATTTTTTGAAGGGTTTTTTGTGTCTCTATTTCCTTCAGTTCTGCTCTGATTTTAGTTATTTCTTGCCTTCTGCTAGCTTTTGAATGTGTTTGCTCTTGCTTTTCTAGTTCTTTTAATTGTGATGTTAGGGTGTCAATTTTGGATCTTTCCTGCTTTCTCTTGTGGGCATTTAGTGCTATAAATTTCCCTCTACACACTGCTTTGAATGTGTCCCAGAGATTATGGTATGTTGTGTCTTTGTTCTCATTGGTTTCAAAGAACATCTTTATTTCTGCCTTCATTTCGTTATGTACCCAGTAGTCATTCAGGAGCAGGTTGTTCAGTTTCCATGTAGTTGAGCAGTTTTGAGTGAGTTTCTTAATCCTGAGTTCTAGTTTGATTGCACTGTGGTCTGAGAGACAGTTTGTTATAATTTCTGATCTTTTACATTTGCTGAGAAGAGCTTTACTTCCAACTCTGTGGTCAATTTTGGAATAGGTGTGGTGTGGTGCTGAAAAAAATGTATATTCTGTTGATTTTGGGTGGAGAGTTCTGTAGATGTCTATTAGGTCCGCTTGGTGCAGAGCTGAGTTCAATTCCTGGGTATCCTTGTTAACTTTCTGTCTCATTGATCTGTCTAATGCTGACAGTGGGGTGTTAAAGTCTCCCAGTATTATTGTGTGGGAGTCTACGTCTCTTTGTAGGTCACTCAGGACTTGCTTTGTGAATCTGGGTGCTTCTGGATTGGGTGCATATATATTTAGGATAGTTAGCTCTTCTCGTGGAATTGATCCCTTTACCATTATGTAAAGGCCTTCTTTGTCTCTTTTGATCTTTGTTGGTTTAAAGTCTGTTTTATCAGAGACTAAGATTGCAACCCCTGCCTTTTTTTGTTTTCCATTTGCTTGGTAGATCTTCCTCCATCCTTTTATTTTGAGCCTATGTGTGTCTCTGCATGTGAGATGGGCTTCCTGAATACAGCACACTGATGGGTCTTGACTCTTTATCCAATTTGCCAGTCTGTGTCTTTTAATTGGAGCATTTAGTCCATTTACATTTAAAGTTAATATTGTTATGTGTGAATTTGATCCTGTCATTATGATGTTAGCTGGTTATTTTGCTCATTAGTTGATGCAGTTTCTTCCTAGCCTCGATGGTCTTTACAATTTGGCATGTTTTTGCAGTGGCTGGTACCAGTTGTTCCTTTCCATGTTTAGTGCTTCCTTCAGGAGCTCTTTTAGGGCAGGCCTGGTGGTGACAAAATCTCTCAGGATTTGCTTGTCTGTAAAGGATTTTATTTCTCCTTCACTTATGAAGCTTAGTTTGGCTGGATATGAAATTCTGGGTTGAAAATTCTTTTCTTTAAGAATGTTGAATATTGGCCCCCACTCTATTCTGGCTTGTAGAGTTTCTGCTGAGAGATCCACTGTTAGTCTGATGGGCTTCCCTTTGCGGGTAATCCGACCTTTCTCTCTGGCTGCCCTTAACATTTTTTCCTTCATTTCAACTTTGGTGAATCTGACAATTATGTTTCTTGGATTTGCTTTTCTTGAGGATTATCTTTGTGGCATTCTCTGTATTTCCTGAATCTGAATGTTGGCCTGCCTTGCTAGATTGGGGAAGGTCTCCTGGATAATATCCTGCAGAGTGTTTTCCAACTTGGTTCCATTCTCCCCGTCGCTTTCAGGTACACCAATCAGATGTAGATTTGGTCTTTTCACATAGTCCCATATTTCTTGGAGGCTTTGTTCGTTTCTTTTTATTCTTTTTTCTCTAAACTTCCCTTCTCACTTCATTTCATTCATTTCATCTTCCATCACTGATACCCTTTCTTCCAGTTGATCGCATAGGCTCCTCAGGCTTCTGCATTGTTCACGTAGTTCTCGAGCCTTGGCTTTCAGCTCCATCAGCTCCTTTAAGCACTTCTCTGTATTGGTTATTCTAGTTATACATTCATCTAAATTTTTTTCAAAGTTTTCAACTTCTTTGCCTTTGGTTTGAATTTCCTCCTGTAGCTCGGAGTAGTTTGATCGTCTGAAGCCTTCTTCTCTCAACTCATCAAAGTCATTCTCCATTCAGCTTTGTTCCATTGCTGGTGAGGAGCTGCATTCCTTTGGAGGAGGAGAGGCGCTCAGCTTTTTAGAGTTTCCAGTTTTTCTGCTCTGTTTTTTCCCCATCTTTGTGGTTTTATCTACTTTTGGTCTTTGATGATGGTGATGTACAGATGCGTTTTTGGTGTGGATGTCCTTTCTGTTTGTTAGTTTTCCTTCTAACAGACAGGACCCTCAGCTGCAGGTCTGTTGGAGTTTGCTAGAGGTCCACTCCAGATGCTGTTTGCCTGGGTACCAGCAGTGGTGGCTGCAGAACAGTGGATTTTCATGAACCGCGAATGCTGCTGTCTGATCGTTCCTCTGGAAGTTTTGTCTCAGAGGAGTACCCGGCCGTGTGAGATGTCAGTCTGCCCCTACTGGAGGGTGCCTCCCAGTTAGGCTGCTCGGGGGTCAGGGGTCAGGGACCCACTTGAGGAGGCAGTCTGCCCGTTCTCAGATCTCCAGCTGCGTGCTGGGAGAACCACTGCTCTCTTCAAAGCTGTCAGACAGGGACATTTAAGTCTGCAGAGGTTACTGCTGTCTTTTTGTTTGTCTGTGCCCTGCCCCCAGAGGTGGAGCCTACAGAGGCAGGCAGGCCTCCTTGAGCGGTGGTGGGCTCCACCCTGCTCAAGTTTCCTAGCTGCTTTGTTTACCTAAGCAAGCCTGGGCAATGGCGGGCACCCCTCCTCCAGCCTCGCTGCCACCTTGCAGTTTGATCTCAGACTGCTGTGCTAGCAATCAGCGAGACTCCGTGGGCGTAGGTCCCTCCGAGACAGGTGTAGGATATAATCTCCTGGTGCGCCGTTTTTTAAGCCCGTCAGAAAAGCGCAGTATTGGGGTGGGAGTGACCCGATTTTCCAGGTGCCATCTGTCACCCCTTTCTTTGACTAGGAAAGGGAACTCCCTGACCCCTTGCACTTCCCGAGTGAGGCAATGGCTCGCCCTGCTTCGGCTCGCACACAGTGAGCTGCACCCATTGTCCTGCGCCCACTGTCTGGCACTCCCTAGTGAGATGAACCCGGTACCTCAGATGGAAATGCAGAAATCACCTGTCTTCTGTGTCGCTCACGCTGGGAGCTGTAGACTGGAGCTGTTCCTATTTGGCCATCTTGGCTCCAGCCCTATAACGGTAGTTTTCAAATTACAAACTGAGATCCTTTTAGTGAATCTACAAAGTCAAAATATTTTTCACAAGAATATTATCTCACAAGTGTATATTGAAGTTTCCCAGAGGTTTTACAATATGCGATGATGCCATTGCTCTAACATCATCACATGCATTCTTACACTTAAATATTAATTTTTAACTTCCAATATGGCAAATTTGTATATGTGTAATTAACATAAACAATGGCTCTTCTGAAATTCTCAATAAGTTTTAGGAAGTGCTTCTATCATTATAATGCTCAATGAGGTGAACAGAAATTGGCTCACAATGGAGAAAAAAACAGGAAAGCCAAGCAGAAGAAAAAAAGGTAAAAAATAATGATAGAAATTTAATAACTGAAAATACAGTATTTGAAATTTTAATAAAACATCATCTGATGGATTTAATAGTAGAATGGTGACAACAAAGCAACATCAGCAAACTTGAAGACAGTCTAATAGAAATTACTCAATTTTAAAATTATATAGAAAAATATATATGAAAAAAATAAACAGAGTCTCATGAACTTTAGTCAATAACAAGTGGCCTAAAATATTAGGTACTTTGAGTACAGGAAGAAATGGATGTAACAGTAGACAGAAAATATATTAAAACTAATGTGTACAAGTGTATGATATAACAAAATTAAAATTGTGAAATCATTTTACTAATCAATATCAATAAAAATTCCAATGGAAAACAGATAAGATTAATTTAAACTTGTGAATCAAATATATTAGTTTACTCTAATCTGTCTCCTACTACGTTACTAAAATGAGCATATAGAAATAAAAATATGTGATTCCATAAGGACAAAAAGGATAGAAAATGACAACTGAGGTTAAGAGATTTCAAATAAATTTTTTTGAAAATTAAAAACAAATAAAGATTGGTAAATGACTTGGCATAACTGAGGAATTTAGAACTGAAGTGTTTTCCACAAAAAGCTACCATTTAAAACTGACCTATTAACCATGAGGATCCCCTGAGAACACACATTTGAAACCACTGGAAACTAGACACCTCAGAAAGTGGGAGCAGTTTGACTTGAAAATGAAAAGCTCCTTCTCTAGACCCTGCTAGACCATGTAGTTTAGAGGTACCCACTTTCTCTCAATCTCTCTCTCTCTCTCTCTCTCTCTCTCTCTCACACACACACACACACACACACACACACAAACACACACACAAATATATTAAAGAACATATGAAAATCTCTGGTATGTGAAATCTGGCACTTGTCACTAACATAGCATGACCTGTAGCCTTAAGCTTTTATTTTATTGAAAAAACTCTATTTAGGCTCCAGGGAAATGATCCCTCATAATTCTTGTCTTATGCCTTAAAAAATAGGTATTGTTTTTAAACATGAAACAGGTTTATGAGTTGCAGTACTGCAGACATCTGAAGCAAGTAGTGTTTTCAAGTGCAGGAGAGATTTGAGAGGTGAAAGCACATTGACAAAAAATAATTTTGTAGAGAAAAAGAAATGCTTTTAAAATTTGTTGGAAATGTAAATTAGTTCAACCACTGTAGAAGACAGTGTGGCAAATCCTCAAAGACCTGAAAACATAAATATTATTCAACCCAGCAATCTCATTACAGGGTATATACCCACAGAAATACAAATTGTTCTATGATATAGACACGTGCATATGTATGTTCATTGCAGCACTATTCAGAATAGCAAAAAGATGGAATCAACCTAAATGCTCATCAATGATAAAATGGATAAAGAAAATGTGGGCATTTACACACTGGTGGGCCTTCTGGTGCCCACTCAGCCTTCTGATTCCCATTTACACCATGGAATACTATGCAGCCACAAAAAAGAACAAGATCACGTCCTTTGCAGGAACATGAATGGAGTTAGAGGCCATTATCCTTAGCAAAGTAACACAGGAACAGAAAACCAAATGCCACATGTTCTCACTTATAAGTGGGAGCTAAATGATGTGAACACATGGACACATAGAGAGGAACAACACACACTGGGGCCTATAAGAGAATAGAAGGTGAAAGGATGAAGAGGATCAGAAAAAATAACTAATGGGTACTAGGCATAATTCCTTGGCAATGAAATAATCTGTATAAAAACCCCATAACACAACTTGACCTATATAACAAATCTGCACATGCACCCCTGAACTTAAAATAAAAGTTAAATTAAAAAAATACAAAGGATAAAAAAATGAAAAGTTGGTTTTTGAAAATATAAACAAAATCAACAAACCACTACCAAGATTAATAAAGAAAAATGAGAAATACCAAAATAAACAAAATTAGAAATAAAAGGGAGATATTACAACTGAACACAGAAATGAAAAAGTTCATCAAAGACTATTATGAACAAGTATGAGCTAACAAATACAAAAATCCAGTAGAAATAGATTAATTCCTGAACATATACAAATTGCAAAGATCGAACCAGGAAGAAATATAAAACCTGAACTGAACAGACCAATATGAAGTAATGAGATTGAATCAGTAATTAAAAAGTCTCCCAATAAATAAAAACCAAGGACCAAATGGTTTTACTGCTGAGTTCTACTAAATTTATAAAGAACTAAGGCTAACTCTTCAAAACATTCAAAGCAAAGAAGAGAAGGGAATTATTGCTAATTCATTCTACAAGGCCAGCACTACCCTGACACCAAAACTATACAAGGACACAACAAAAAAGAATACTATAGGACAATATACCTGAGGAACCTAGACACAAAACATCCCAAACAAAATACTAGCAAAATGAATCCAGTAACACACATAAAAAAAAAAAAAATTAGGCTAGGTGCAGTGGCTCACACCTGTAATCCCAGCACTTTGGGAGGCCAAGGCAGGTGAATCACTTGAGGCCAGGAGTTTGAGACCATCCTGGCCAACATGGTGAAACTCCGTCTTTACTAAAAAATACAAAAATTAGCCGGGCATGGTGGTGCATGCCTGTAGTCCCAGCTACTCGTGAGGGTGAGGCAGGAGAATCGCTTGGACCCTGGAGGTGGAGGTTGCAGTGAACCAAGATTGCGTCACTGCACTCCAGCCTGGGTGACAGAGCAAGATTCCGTCTCAGGAAAAAGTAATAACAATGATAATAATATATCATGATCAAGTGGAGTCTATCCACTTGATGCAAGTATGGTTAGACATATGCAAATCAATGAATGTGATATGTTACATCAACAAAATGAAGGACAAAAAAACATAAGATTACATCAACAGATACAGAAAAAGCATTTAAAAAATATTATCTTTTCATATTAATAAATCTCAAAAATTTAGGCATAGAAGAAACATACCTCAACAAAATAAGCACCATTGTGACAAACCCACAGCTAACATAATATTGGATGGGAAAAAGCTGAAAGTCTTTCCTTTAAAAACCAGAACCAGACAAGTATGACCAATTTCACCACTGTTATTCAACTTATTTAAAAGGTCATAATCAGAGCAATAAGGCTACAGAAAGAAATAAAGGCATCCAAGTTGGAAAAAAGGAAGTCAAACTGTCCCTCTTTACAGATTACATGACCTTATACATAAAGAAAAACATAAAGATTCCACAAAGAATCTATTAGTACTAAAAACAAGTTAACGAAAGTCATAGAATACAAAAATCAACATATAAAAACCTGTAATGTTTCTATAAATCCCTAAAAGGAATAGATAAAGCAATCACATTTACAATGACTATAAAAAATAAGATACCTAGGAATAAATTTAACCCAGGAAGTGAAAGGTCTCTACAAAAAAAAAAAAAAAAAAAAAAAGACACTGATGAAAGAAATTTGAATTGGACACCAAAAATAGAAAGATATCCAATGCTAATGGATCAGAGAATTAATAGTTTTTTTTTCCTTTCTAATTATTTTATTTTATTTTAAGTTCTGGGGTACATGTACAGGATGTGCAGGTTTATTACATAAGTAAACATTTGCCATGGTGGTTTGCTGCACCAATCAATCCATCACCTAGATATTAAGCCTGGCATGCAATAGTCTTTTTTCCTGATGCTCTCCCCCTGCACCCTCACCTGACAGGCCCCAGTGTGTATTGTGCCCCTCCCTGTGCCCATGTGTTCTCATTGTTCAGCTCCCACTTAAAGTAAGAACATGCAGTGTTTGGTTTCCTGTTCCTGTGTTAGTATGCTGAGGGTAATAGCTTCCAGCTTCATCCATGTCCCTGCAAGGAACATGATCTTGTTCCTTTTTATGGCTGCATAGTATTCCATGGTGTATATGTACCGCATTTTCTTTATCTAATCTGTTATTGATAGGCATTTAGGTTGATTTAATGTATTTGCTATTGGAAATAGTGGTGCAATGAACATATGTGTGCATGTATCTTTATAATAGAATGATTTACATTCCTTTGGGTGTATACCCAGTAATGGGATTGCTGGGTCAACAACTGGTATTTCTAGTTCTAAACCTTTGAGGAATCTCCACACTGTCTTTCACAAGGGTTGAACTAATTTACATTCCCACCAACAGTGTAAAATCGTCCCTTTTTCTCTGCAACCCCACCAGTATCTGTTTTTTTACTTGACTATTTAATAATCACCATTCTGACGGGTGTATGATGGTATCTCATGGAGGTTTTAATTTGCATTTCTGGAATGATACATGATGTTGAGCTTTTTGTCATATGTTTCTTGTCCACATGTATGTCTTCTTTGGATAAGTGACTGTTCATGTAATTTGTCCACTTTTTAATAGGGCTGTTTGTTAAAGTGACCATCCTACCCCCCAAAATTTACAAATTTATTACAATCCCTTTCAAAATACCAATGACATTTTAACAGAAGTAGGAAAAACCATCTTAAAATTTTATGAAACCACAAAAGGCCTTAAATCAGGGGTTCCCAAATCCTAGGCCATACTGGTCCATGACCTCTTAGGAACCAGGCCACACATCAGGAGGTAAGTGGCAAGTGAGCATTACTGCCTGAGTTCCACCTTCTGCCAGATCAGCTGCAGCATTAGATTTTCATAGAAGCATGAACCCTATGGTGAACTGTGCATCTGAGGGATCTAGGTTGTGCACTCCTTATGAGAATCTAACTAATGCCTGATTATCTGAGGTGGAACAGTTTCATCCCAAAACCTTCCCTCCCCACTCCATCTGTGGAGAAATTATCTTCCATGAAACTAGTCACTGGTGCCAAAAAGGTTGGCAGCTGCTGCCCTAAAAAGTCAAAGAAATCCTGAGAAAAAGGAACAAAGCTACATGCTTCATAATACCTTACTTCAAAATATACTACAAAGCTATAGTAACCAAAACAGCATGGTATTGGTACAAAAATAGACACATCATTTCATGGAACAGAATAGAGGACCCAGAAAAAAATCATGTATTTATAGTCAATTAATTTTTGACAAAGGTGCCAAGAACATATATTGAGGAAAAGGCATCTTGTTTAATAAATGGTGCTGAGCAAAGTTGATATTCATATGCAAAATAATGAACTAGACCCTGTCTCATATTATGTTTAAAAATCAATTAAAAAACTGATTCAAGGCATAAATGAAAGACATAAAACTATAGAACTACTAGGAGAAAACACAGGGGAAACACCTTAGACTACTTGTCTAAGCAAACTTAAGACCTCAAAAGCACAGTCAATAAAAATAAAAATAGGCAAGTGGGTCTATATGAAACTAAAATCTTCTGCACAGAAAATGAAACAATCAACAGAATGAAGAGACTAACTGTAGAATGGGGGAAAGATATTTTCAAACTATTCATGTGACAAAGGACTATTATACAGAATATACAAGGAACTCAAACAACTCAACAGCAAAACAACCAAATAATACTATTAAAAGTGGGCAAAGGATCTGCATAGACATCTTTCAAAAGAAGACATATAAATGGCCAACAGGTGCCTTAAAAGAAGTTAAACATGACTAATCATCAAGGAAATGCAAATCCAACTAATAATGAGATAGCATGTTACCCCAGTTAGAATGACTATTATCAGAAAGACAAAAAATGTAAAATTCTGGACAGGATGCTCAGAAAAGGTAATACATACTGTTTTTAGGAATTCACATAGTACAGTCATTATGAACCAGATTATGGAGTTTTCTTAAAAATGGAACTACTATATAATCTGTCAATCTCAGTAATGGGTATTTATTCAAAGTAAAGAAAATTGGTATATTAAAGAGATTCCTGCACCCCCATGTTTACTGTAGCACTATTCACAATAATTAAAATATGGATTCAACCTATATTCTCATCAACAGATGAATGGATACAGAAAATGTGGTAAATACGCACAATAGAATACTATTTAGCCATATAAAAGAATAAAATTCTGTCGTTGGCAACAATATGAATGTAACTGGAGGTCATTATTTTAAGTGAAATAAGCCAGGCATAGAAAGACAAATATTGTGTGTTCTCACTCACATGTAGGAGATAAAAATCGTCCATCTAATGGAGGCAGAAGAGTAAAATGATAATTACCAAAGGGTGAGATGTTCATAAGATGTAGAATGAAGAGAGGTTAGGTAATGGGTACAAACATACATTTAAACACAAATAATACATTCTAGTGCTCTACAGCACAGTAGGGTGACTACAATTAACAATATTTTATATATTTCAAAATAGCTAGAGGAGAAAATTTGGAATTTTTCCAACACAAAGAAATGATAAATGTTTAATGTGATGGATATCCTAAATACCTTGATGTGATTATTACACATTGTATGCACGTAGCAAAATTCCACATGTATGCCATAAACATGAAAAAACACTATGTATCAATAAAAAAATAAAAACGAAGTCAACTAGGAGGTTGGGGAAATGACAGGATGAACTGCAGATTGTGAGAAAATATTCTAACTGCATTACATGTATACAGAGTAACCTCACTGAAGGGAGTTGAGGGAAAGGTGCTGACCAAAGTAACTTTAGAAATCACTAAATACTTGTAAAGCAAGACCATATATTGTGACAAAAGGAATAATCCATATATCAGTCAGCGTTCTCTAAAAGGACAGAATAGGGTAGATGAATATATGAGGGGGGGTTTACTAGGAGTACTGACACATGATCACAAGGTGAAGTCCCACAATCGGCCGTCTGAAAGATGAGGAGCCAGGAAGCCAGTGGGAGTTCCAAAACCTTGAAAGTAGGGAAGCCGATACTGCAGCGTCCAGTCTGTGGCCAAAGGCCTGAGAGCCCCTGACAAATCACTCATGTAAGTCCAATAGTCCAAAAGCTGAAGAACTTGGAGTCTGATGTTCCAGAGCAGGAAGCATCCACTATGGGAAAAAGATGGAGCCCAGAGGACTTAGCCAGTCTAGTCTTTCCATGTTCTTCTGCCTGCTTTTATCCTAGGCACATTGGCAGCTGATTACATGGTGCCCACCCAGGTTGAGGGTGGGTCTGTCTCTCTCAGTCCACTGACTCAAATGTTAATCTTGTTTGGCAACACCCTCACAGACACACCCAGGAACAACACTTTGCATCCTTCAGTCTAATCAAGTAGATACTCAATATTAACCATCACAATCCATAAGCACTGTAGTCTAGTTAGTAAAGTTGTTTCTTATGGGGTTACGAGTTGACAATTCTGAAACTTCTGTACATGTATAAACAAAATAAATAAGTAAATGGATGGCAGATAGTAGGAGCCAGGTTTCTTACCTTTCTTATTTACCTGAAAAGGAGGTTACAGGTAAGTAAGAGGGAAAGATTAGAATAAACCACATGGCACTGGAATAGAGCAGAGACATCAGTATAAACTCATGTATAGTTTAATATAATACAGATGAGAGGGCCTAGAAACAGTGGCACTGCAGTAGCAATGAGTATATTCTGAATTAAGATCTCAGTTTCTAAAGGTTATTTTCAAATAAAAGAACCCAGGGCTCCTTGGAGACATAACTTATTTTAGGACAGAGACGGGGAATATACAAGATGACAATGGAGCATCTTGTAGTACTTGAAAGTTATGAAATTCTCAACAACAACAAAAAATGATAGAGACATGCCAAAGGGATTGAGGCACCATGATGAAAATGCTCCCAATACAAAAGTTGGAAGAATTCAAGCAAAAAATAATAATAAGTATAATGCTATTGGATTATAACATAATATATGAAGTAATTTTCCATTATTTCATACTGATACAAATAAAATGATCAAAAAGTAAATAAATGAGAGAGGACGTAAATCTCCTGTACATAACAATTACAAATAATTTGTACACTGCTATTTTTCTTCAAGGAAGTAGACCTTAGCTACCATCTCCCTCAACCACTCAATTGGAAATTATAGTTAGTGACTTGTTATAAAAAAAAGTAGAGTATAAGTAGGGGGAATACAATAACTTCACATTAAAAATGTGGTGACACTACATCAGTAAAATGATCAAAGTTAACATCATCAATTGTAAGTCAGTAACCCTGATAGCATGTATCCATGAATGATGCAATAAGAATGGACTTGTATTAGTTAGGATTCTTAAGATAAACAGAATCAATAGGCTGTGTGTGTGTGTGTGTGTGTGTGTGTGTGTGTGTGTGTGTGTGTGTACATGTGCTTGTATGTGTAATTTATTATAAGGACCTGGCTCTCATGATTATGGAGACTGACAAGTCTAAATTTGCCGTGTGGGCTGGGAGACTTGAGACTCAGGAAAGCCCGTAGTGCAGTTCCGGTACACAGGAGGGTAACCTGGAGACCTAGGACAGTCAATGATGCTCATGAAATCTGAAGTCAGTCTGCTAGGAAATTTTATCTTGCTCAAGGAGGCTGGTCTTTTATTCTATTCAGGACTTTAACTGGTAACTAGGTCATAATTCTAACTAATCATAATTCAACTATCCTACATAAAACCAAATAAACATTAACCATTCCCTTTCCCCAGAAAAGGATGAAAAGTTTTTAAATGATATGTATTTTTCTCCTTAATAGTCTGTAACTTTAACAGTATAAAGTTAACAATACTTAAATACTATAATGTTAACTCAATTCATTTTATGTTATATGATCGAGGGCTAGGAGAAGAAAGAAAAAATAGATGTTTGTAGGTGTGTGGTCTTATTTCTGGGTTCTCTATTCTGTTCCATCCATCTGTGTGCCTGTTCTTGTACCAGTACCATGTTGTTTTGGTTGCTGTAACCCTGTAGTATAGTTTGCAGTCAGGTAGTGTGATACCTCTAGGTTTGTTCTTTTTGCTTAGGATTGCCTTGGCTATTCAGGCTCATTTTTGGTTTCATTAAAATAGCTTCTTCTTTCTCTAGTTCTGTAAAGAATGTCAATGGTAGTTTAATAGGAATAGCATTGAATCTATAAATTGCTTTGGGCAGTATGGTCATTTTCACCACAATGATTCTTCCTATCCATGAGCATGGAAAGTTTTTCCATTTGCTTGTGTCCTCTCTGATTTCTTTGAGCAGTGGCTTGTAGTTCTCCTGGTAGAGATCTGTCTCTTCCCTTGTTAGATGTATTCCTAGGATTTTATTCTTTTTGTGGCAATTGTAATTGGGGTTACCTTTCTGATTTGGATATCGGCTTGACTGTTGCTGGTTGATAGGAATGCTAGTGACTTTTGCATATTGATTTTGTATCCTGAGCCTTTGCTGAAGTTACTTATCAGCTTAGGAAGCCTTTGGGCTGAGACGATGGAGTTTTCAAGATATAGGATCATGTCATCTGCAAACAGGGATAGTTTGACTTCCTCTCTTTTTATTTGGATGCCTTTATTTCTCTCTTTTGCCTGATTGCCCTGGCCAGAACTTCCAATACCATGTTGAATAGAAGAGGTGAGAGAGGCTATCCTTATCCTGTTCTGGTCTTCAAGGGGAATGCTTCCAGCTTTTGCCCATTCCGTATGATAATGGCTGTGAGTTTGTGATAGATCGCTGTTAATATTTTGAGGTATGTTCCTTTAATATCTAATTTATTGAGAGTATTTAACATGAAGCATATTGTTTTATCAAAAGTCTTTTCTGTATCTATTGAGATAATCATGTGGCTTTTGTCTTTAGTTCTGTTTATGTGACAAATCATATTTATTGATTTTCATATGTTGAACCAACCTTGCATCCTGGGGATGAAGCCTACTTGATCGTGGTGGATAAGCTTTTTGATATGCTGCTGGATTCAGTTTGCCAGTATTTTGTTGAGGACTTTTGCAGTGATGTTCATCAAGGATATTGGCCTGAAGTTTTCTTTTTTTGTGTTGTATCTCTGCCAGGTTTTGATATCAGGTCGATGCTGGCTTCATAGAATGAGTTAGCAAGGAGTCCATCCTTTTCCCCATTTTTTTGGGAACAGTTTCAGTAGGAATGGTACCAGCTCTTCTTTGTACATCTGACAGAATTCAGCTCTGAATCCATCTGGTCCTAAGCTGTTTTGGTTTGGTAGGCTATCCTGGCTCAGACTTGGAAGGATGTATGTGTCCAGGAATTTATCCATTTCTTCCAGATTTTCTAGTTTGTGGGCATAGAGGTATTTATATTTGCTGATGGTTTTTTTGTGTTTCTCTGGGGTCAGTGGTGATATCTCCCTTAAGATTTCTGATTTTGTTTATTTAAATTCTTTCTCTTCTCTTCTTTGTTAGTCTAACTATTGGACTATTTTATTAATTTTTTCAAAAAACAACTCCTGGATTCATTGATCTTTGGAATGGTTTTTCTCATCTTATATCCTTCTGCTCTGCTCTGATTTTGGTAATTTCTTCTCTTCTGCTAGCTGTGGGGATTGTTTGCTCTTGGTTCTCTAGTTCTTTTAGTTATTATGTTAAGTTGTCAACTTGAGATCTTTCTAGTTTTTTGATGAGGGCATTTAGTGCTATACATTTTCCTCTTAACACTGCCTTAGCTATGTCCCAGGGATTCTGGTACATTGTATTATCTCATCTCCTACAAACCTCACAAAAACAAGCAATGGGAAAAAGATTCCCTATTTAATAAATGGTCGTGGAATAACTGACTAGCCGTATGCAGAAAAAAGAAACTGGACCCCTCCCTTCTACCACATACAAAAATCAAGTCAAGATGGGTTAAAGACTTAACTGTAAACCGAAAAACTATTAAAACTCTAGAAGAAAAGCTAGGCAATACCATTCAGGACATAGGCATGGGCAAAGATTTCATGACCAAGATGCCAAAAGAAACTGGAACAAAAGCAAAAATTGACAAATGTAATCTAATTAAACTAAAGAGCTTCTTCAGAACAAAAGAAACTATCAATAGAGTAAACAGACAACCTAAAAAATGGGAGAAAAATTTTACAAACTATGCATCTGACGAAATTCTAGTATCCAGTGTCTATAAGCAACTTAGACTCCCACACAATAATAATGGGAGATTTTAACACCCCACTGTCAACATTAGACAGATCAACGAGACAGAAACTTAGCAAGCATACCCAGGGATTGAACTCAGCTCTGCACCAAGCGGACCTAATAGACATCTACAGAACTCTCCACCCCAAATCAACAGAATATACATTTTTTTGCCTAGCTTGGTTCATAGGATATGAACAGACACTTCTCAAAAGAAGACATTTATGCAGCCAAAAAACACATGAAAAAATGCTCACCATCACTGGCCATCAAAGAAGTGCAAATCAAAATCACAATGAGATACCATGTCACATCAGTTAGAATGGCGATCATTAAAAAGTCAGGAAACAACAGGTGCTGGAGAGGATGTGGAGAAATAGGAACACTTTTACACTGTTGGTGGGACTGTAAACTAGTTCAACCATTGTGGAAGTCAGTGTGGTGATTCCTCAGGGATCTAGAACTAGAAATACCATTTGACCCAGCCATCCCATTACTGGGTATATACCCAAAGGATGATAAATCATACTGCTATAAAGACACATGCACACAGATGTTTATTGCAGCACTATTCACAATAGCAAAGACTTGGAACCAACTCAAATGTCAAACAATGATAGACTGGATTAAGAAAATGTGGCACATATACACCATGGAATACTATGCAGCCATAAAAAATGATGAGTTCATGTCCTTTTTAGGGACATGGATGAAGCTGGAAACCATCATTCTCAGCAAACTATCTCAAGGACAAAAAACCAAACACTGCATGTTCTCACTCATAGGTGGGAATTGAACAATGAGAACACATGGACACAGGATGGGGAACATCACACTCCGGGGACTGTTGTGGGGTGGGGGGAGGGGGGAGTGATAGCATTAGAAGATATACCTAATGCTAAATGACGAGTTAATGGGTGCAGCACACCAGCATGGCACATGTATACATATGTAACAAACCTGCACGTTTTGCACATGTACCCTAAAACTTAAAGTATAATAATAATAAAATTAAAAAAAACCAAATAGCTTCATGCTAGGTAACAGAATATGTGTTGATTTTCTCTAGCAATAAATTTCATCTAGTAAAGTAGCTGCAACTGCAGTCACCGTTTGATTAAATTTACCATAAGCCACTGTCGTTCTCCCATACCAATCTGTCTTCAGCACAGGCCAATAACAAGTTGAATGGGGATGTGGTGGCAATAACCATCCCTGCAACTTTCAGATTCTCATTCCAACTTTCAGGATCCCATTTCTTTCCAATCAATGCTCTAACTTTAATAAAAGACACCTTGAGAGGCTGAAAATTCAGTTTGTGTTGTAATTTAACCACTTGTAGAATGAGATTTAGAATTTCGTTTTCAGCAATTTTAGCTCTGCAGCTACAGGAGATAGGTATCTTTTTCAGGAAAGAAATATGAACTTAAAGTGATTTATGCTGAGGTTGAGCTGGAAATTTGAATTATAGAGCTTTTTCCCCCATGTGTCCATCGACATTAGAAGCAACAAGCCAATCTCATTGTGCTTGTTAGTTTGATAAAAATGTTTAAAATTATCATATACACAGCCACTCAGATCCCTGATTATTATGTTCCATTATGAGTACCTAATGACAATATTTTGTTTATCTATATTGCCAGATGATGCCATACACTGTTGGTGTTTCCTTTATTACTGGCAATAGAGTTATTAGTATCTTTAAATCTAATAAGATTAGAGAGCCAGTTCCATAAAACCCAGAACCACTTCAGAAAACTCATCCTTAATATTCTATTCCTTTAGAAATACTTCAGGTACCAAAATTTTTATTACTTCTGCTTCTCCAGAGAAACAGAACCAGTAGCATCAATAAGATAGATTATAATGAGTTGGCTCACATAATTATGCAGAGTGGCAAGTCTAAATCTGCCGTGTTTGTTGGCAGGCAGAGACCCTGGAGAGCAAATGGTGCAGATGAAGTCTGAAGGAAGTCTGCTGGAAAATTCTTTCCTGCTAAAGAAATCTAGTCTTTTTGTTCAATTCAGGCCTTTAACCGATTGGGTGAAGCCAATACACATTATGGACGGCAATCTGTTTACTCAAAGTTCACTAATTTAAATGTTAATCTCATCCAAAAACACCCTTCAAGTTGACACATAAAATTAACTATCCACAAAGTCTTTACCTCTATGGTTTTCATTTCCCAAACTCATAACGCCAGTCTAATTATGAGAAAAAAGTCAGACAAATTCAAATAAAAGGACACTCTATAAAATTAGAGCAGTACTCCTTTAAACTGTCAAGGTCATCAAAAACAAGGAAAGTCTGGGAAACTGTCACAGCCATGAGGAGCCTAAGAAGTCATGACCACTAAATGTAATATGGTATCCTGCAACATAAGAATAGCCATTAGGTATAAACTTTAAAAAACTGAATAAACTATGGACATTAATTAAAAATAATTTGTCATTATTAGTTCATCAGTTGTGGCAAATAAAACATACTAATATAAGCTGTCAATAATAGAGGAACTGAGTGTGAGGTTAAAAATTAAATTTGTAATTTTCTGTAAATCTAAACTATTTAAACATGTTTAAAAATTTTACTATACAAAGAGACTGTACTATAGTTCATAAATGTGTTTCTTACAGGGTATGGCTTAATAATTCTGAAATTATTTTATTAGTATACTAAGGTTGAAAATTTAAATAATTTGTAGATAATAAGAATCAGGTTTCTCAGTGTTGGAGAAAAATGCAAATAAGAAAAGGGAGAAGGACTCTGAGTACACTGTCTATGGGGTAGCCCTGCTCTGCAGGAGAAGTCATGAAGCTGTAATATTGCCAGAGCTGTAATACTGCCACTTCAATAAGGCTGTTTTCTTCTACCCTACCAGTGGCTCACTCTTAAATTCTTTCCTGGGCAAAGCCAATAAGTCTCATGGGCTAAGCCCCAATTTGGGGCTCATTTGCCCTGCATCAGCATGGTACCCAAAGTGGGATGAAGAGAGAAGACGGCAGCATGAGAGATGGTTGAAGAAATGGCAGCTGACATTTGGTGATCAACAGGGTGGCAGTCAGTGAAATGGCATTTGGTGGGATGAACAGTCAGTGGAATGGTAGTCAATGAGGTGGCAGTTGGTGAGATGGTAAAAAATGAAAATTGGTAAAGACAATGAGCAGAGAGACAGTGAAAGGCAGCAAAGCAGAGCTGTTAACACCTAAGAGCTGTTACACTACCAGCCAAAGGCTATTTTCAGAGCCATCATTTTCCTTGGCAGGCAGTAGAACTAAGCAGAAATGCAAGTTGCCTTAATACTGCTGCTTTGTGTGAGACCTGCTGCTCTGACTACCAGACCAATTGGTTTCTGATCCCCATGATAGCCCTTTTCACCATGGAAGCTTAGCCAACCCAAGCTAAGGGATCCTGAAAAGATCTTCACCTGGGTCCCAAGTGGAAGATTAGTCAGTGCCATTTTGGTTCCAGTGGACGAGTGAGTGTCCCCTCTGTCCCCACCCCCATAGTATCAAGATAACTAGAGAATAAAATGAAAGCCTTTGGCTAGGTGATCGGTTAGAAGGTCCCCATCATTTGTGTGCCCCAAGACATGTTTTTGATGTCCCTGCCCCCAGTTCTTTCTCCTCTGATTCCATTTTATTGTTCCAATAGTCACTTTATTTTCATTTCTAAAATGTATGTTTTGTTTGCCGTCTTATGTTTGCTTTTAACTTTTTGTTAACTGTGTTTGAGCAATTGTTTAAGGCAGGACACTTGGTTGTGGGAGATCTCCCATTGTTTTGACTCTGGGATGCCAGAGTCACTTTGGTGACCCAAACTTGATGTTGGGTTAACTATTGGCCACCCTTCCAGGTATCCCAGGGGTCTCAGCATTTGGTGTGGGGACCCTCATTGGCTGTAACTCAGGCACCCCAGGTTTTCAGTACTGGTTGTGGCCACCCCCCCAGATGCCCTAGGGTATTTGGTATTGATATTCCCTTTAGGATTTGGGGTAGGGAACTTTGGTTTTGAGAGAGAAAAGTTAGGTAATTAGGGTGGGTCCTTGGTAAAACTCCTTTTTTCTTTATTTTTATTTTTTATTTCCAGAAGTTTTTGGGAAACAGGTGGTATTTGGTTATATGAGTACGTTTTTTAGTGTTGATTTGTGAGATTTTGGTGCACCCATCACCTGAGCAGTGTACATTGAACCCAATTTGTAGCCTTTTATCCCTCACCCTTTTCCCACACTTTCCCCCTGAGTCCTCAAAATCCATTGTATCATTCTTATACCTTTGCATCCTCACAGCTTAGGTCCCACTTATGAGTGAGAACATACAATATTTGATTTTCCGTTACTGAGTTACTTCACTTAGAATAATAGCCTCCAATCCCATCCAGGTTGCTAGAAATGCCATTAATTCAATCATTTTTTATGGATGAGTAGTATTAATTTTTTATGGATAAGTAGTATTATATATTGCGGGACAAAGACTGGAGAGACCGAAAAAGGTTCAGGAGAGTCTATTAAGGTGATCACTGGCCCAGCCGGACATATGTCCAGAAAGTCTGAGCCCCGAACAAAGGGCTTTTCCTACTTTTAAACATCTTAAGGCAGAAACTATGTGAGGCAGGAAGCGAGTTACAGAAGCAAGAAACAAAGGCGGCATTGAAACATATCTTACATTTTGAGAAAGACATGACTTGCGACCTAAACTTATCAGTCTTGTGACCCTGCAGTCGTGCAGGAACTCACTCGGCCTGTAATAAACTTTGAGGAATGCGGAGTTGGGGAGCATAGCTAAGGTCCACTGTTCACAGAGAGAAGACAGGCTGTTAATATTCTCTTTTAACTTGAGTGTAAGGGGGGGTCACACTTTGCAGCAACTTTAATAGGATTTTAAAATTTCTATTACTACTACTATTAGGTTATAGTTGATTTCATTAATTCCTTCATATATATATATATCTAGATATATATATATCTACATATATATAAGTTTCTTTATCTACTCATTGATTGATAGGCATTTGGGCTGGGTCCATATTTTTGCAATTGCGAACTATGCTGCTATAAGCGTGTGTTCAAGTATCTTTTTCATGTAATGTCTTCTTTTCCTCTGGGTAGATACCCAGTAGTGGGATTGCTGGATCAAATGGTAGTTCTACGTTTAGTTCTTTAAGGAATCTGTACACTGTTGTACTAGTTTACATTCCCAACAACAGTGAAGAAGTTTCCCTTTTCACCACATCCATGTCAACATCTATTATTTTTTGGTTTTTTAATTATGGCCATTCTTGTGGGAGTAAAGTGGTATTGCACTGTGGTTTTGATTTGCATTTCCCTGATCATTAGTGATATTGAGCATTCTTTCATATGTTTGTTGGTTATTTGTATATCTTCTTTTCAGAATTGTCTATTCATGTCCTTAGCCCACTTTTTGATGGGATTGTTTGTTTGTTTGTTTGTTTTTCTTGCTAGTTTCTTTGAGTTCCTTGTAGATTCTGGATGTTAGTACTTTGTCAGATGTATATATTGTGAAGATACCACTCTTTGGGTTGTCTGTTTACTCTGCTGAGTATTCCTTTTGCCGTGAGAAAGCTCTTTAGTTTAATTAAGTCCCACCTATTTTTTTGTTTTTGTTTTCGCTGCATTTGCTTTTCGGTTCTTGGTCATGAAATCTTTGCCTAAGCCAATGTCTAGAAGGATTTTTCGGATGTTATCTTCTAAACTTTTATAGTTTCAGGACTTAGATTTAAGTACTTGATTCATCATGAGTTGATTTTTGTATAAGGTGAGTCATGAGGATTCAGTTTTATTCTCCTACATACGGCTTGCCAATTATCCCCACACCATTTGTTGAAAAGGTTGTCCTTTCCCCCACTTTATGTTTTTGTTTGCTTTGTCAAAGATCAGTTGGCTGTAAGTATTTGGGTTTATTTCTGGGTTCTCTATTCTGTTCCATTGCTCTATGTGCCTATTTTCGTACCAGTACCATGCTGTCTTGGTGACTATGGCCTTATAATATAGTTTGAAATCAGGTATTGTGATGCCTCCATATTTGTTCTTTTTGCTTAGTCTTGCTTTGGCTATGAAGGCTTTTTTTTGGCCCCATGTGAATTTTAGGATTTTTTTTCTTTTTTTTTTTGTAGCTCTGTGAAGAATGATTCTGGTATTTTGGTGGGAATTGTAGACAACACAAAGAAATGGCAACACATCCCATGCTTATGGATGGGTAAAACTCCTTTAAACAGAGAAACAGCCTGAAAAATCAGGCTGCAGGCACAGAAAATGAAATTGCAGAAACCTCCAGCTCACTCAGATAAAGGAACAAGGCCCAACAGAAAACGCCTTGTTATTTGTGCCTAAAGACATTCCCATGGCTACACTGATAAGGGAACAAGACCCAACATAGAAATGCCTTTGTCTTTTGTATAACCAGTGGGCTTCTAGGAAATAGTCTCTTCTCCTTTTCTGGGCATGTACATGGTGGGCTCTGGTTCCAGTGGGCACTTTCATTTCTTTTCTGGACATGCTTTGGACTGTGAGCTGAGCCACTATGAATAATCACTTCATTCTCTGGTCCCAGGCCAATGTCTCAGACCAAGCTTTCACTTCATCTCCTGATTGGTCCCGGGCCAAGGTCCTGGGCCAGGCTGAGTAATACTTTCTCCAAGACCAGTCAGCACATTTCTTCCCTTCCCAGTCTGTAAAACCGCCAGACCCAGCCTCATAGTGGACAACCCACTCAGCCCTCCCTCTCCACTGCAGAGAACTTTCTATTGCTTATTAAACTTTCACTCCTACCTCACTCTTTGTGTCCACACTTCTTAATTTTCTTGGCCATGAGACACAGAACTCTGGGTGATACCTAACAATGACAGACTGCTACAGTGTGGTACATTCATGAGAGTGTAACAGTTTCACTTTATTTTTTGCCCTGAAGAAAGAAGTATTATTTCCTAATAGCCAGTTTCTGACCCTCTCCTGTATACTAACTTTCTACTGCTTTGTTGAAGCCCCTCTTGATAAGAAAACCTGGGATTTACCAAGCCTCTGGCTTGATGAACAGCCTCCTAAAGCTGTATACAAGTGGCCATCCAACATTTTTTTTCAGTGTTTCTGTTGCTTTGTAGGTTATTAAGCAAGTCCAGGCCTCTGAGGTCTCCACTTGGGCAATGCTGTTGACTCCTTCTCTTGTCCCTCCCACAATAATCATTTGTTAAGCCCCCCTCTCTTCCCAACCCTTGCTACCTGTGGAATTTAGGCTCAGCAACAAACTGTTCATTTGCAGTTCATAATCTGCCTTTGTAACACATTGCTATCTATATTTTGTAGAAAGTGGGAAATTTAAAGAGAAAAGTAATAATTTGTTAAACTTAGGTTAACTGAAACCCCCTGTAGAGATCCTTACTGAACATGGGGACAACAATAAGCATCCAAAAAGACTTGCCACTACTTGGGTGTCTTTTAGACAATTGGAGCACATTCGAATTATTAAGCAAATTGAAAAAGAAAACCTCATTTACTATTGCAATAATGTTTGGGTTCAATACAAAGTGTCAAACCAACAGATTTGGCCTAGGCATGTTTCCTTAAGTTATAATTATATTGTACAATTAGATTTGCTTTGTGAAAAGTAAGAAAAATGGGAAGAAGTTCCTTATGTACAGGCTTTTATGGCCCTCTACCAGGATTCTAAAGGCTAGCTGTAGAATGTGGCTTATGATATTCCCAGGCACCCAGAAGCTACACCAGATATCCTAGATTACTGCCTGCTAGCTGTTCCCCCTAGGACACTCATGCCCCTACTTCAGAGCCTCCTCAGTCCCCTAGTTATGAGGGGGGCCCTACCTGTTCTCTAATGCAGGATTATACCCCAAGGTCATCAGGTACCCATTTTCCTTATCCAACAAGCCCTGGCCCATATCCCCCACTGCTTGAGGAAGTAAGCCCAAGCAATACCACCAGGAGTGGGACCCCATATGAGCCCCCAAAATCAAACTTGTGTCCATCATGGGGGGTAGCTAATGGAGATGAAAAAAAAAATCAGAGTATATGTGCCTTTTTCCATGTCTGATTTGGCTTTAAGCAATGAAAAAGTTGGTTGATTTTTGGAAGATCCAGGGAAGTTTGTAGAAAAATTTGTTAAGTTGACCATGTATTTTGATTTCACTTGGCATAACATGCAAATATTATTATCTGATTTTTGTACTGCAGAAGAAAAATAATTCTAGGTACTGCTCATGAACATGCAGATGGAGTGGCTGTGTGTAATGCAGGCCATGCCATTTATAATATGGGAGGAGATGCAGTTCCAGAGCTAGACAATCAATGGAATTACCAGAGAGGGTCTCAAGATCTTGAATGCAGAAATTGTATGCTGAAAATGTGGGTAGTTAAGCCAGTTAATTATGATAAGGTGAGAGAAGTAACTTGGGAGAAAGTTAAAATTCTCACTCTATTTTAGGGCTGTTTGGTTGAGGCACTCAGAAAATATAATAATAGAGTCCCAGAATCCCCAGAAGGATGAGCTCTCCTGGGTGTGCCTTGTATTACTTCATCTTCCCCTAACGTTGGGAGGAAGCTATAATATAAAAAGTAGCAATGGGACCCCAAATCCCTATTAGTCAACTCTTAGACATTGCCTTTGGGGTGTGCAACAATTGAGATAGGGCAGAGAAAGAGGCAAATACCAAAAGACTTAGCCAAAAAGCACAATTATTAGTGTTATTAGTGGCTGCTTTAGGCCCCTTGCTGCCTCAGGGTTATCCACCTTGAAAGAAAGTGGTAAAATTAGCATCTAGGATGCTCAGATAAGAGCCCTTCACTCACCAACTTCTTGGCCAAAAATAAATATGCCTTCTGTAAGCAAGAAGGCCACTGGAGGAAGGACTTCCCCAGGCTAAAGAGAGAGCATGAGACACCCAGACCCATAATAGCCAAGAAAGCAGAGGCCTAATGGGGACTCGGGACCTCTACAGCTCTTACTGGACACCTTACCATCTCCATGGTGTAGCCTCAGTTAACCCTTGATGTAACAGGTACAAATATTAAGTTTGTGTTGGAAATTAGAGCATTCTTCCCGGTTATAAACCATTTCTTCTGGGCCACTGTCTTTCCACTCTTGTACAATAACAAGAATTTATGGCCAGCCAAAAATTAGGAGATTCACCCACCTCCTTCATTGCACTGTGGTGGACCATACATTTTCCCACAGGTTATTACTTATGCCTGAGTATTCTATCTCTCTACTGTGGAAAGACTTACTTTTCCAATTACAGGCCACAGTTTAATTTGGGGTGCCTCATGAGAAGGCAGCAAGCCAGGAAGGGACATTTTTCCTAGCTCTAAGTTCTTGCCTTAACACAGAGAAGGAGAAGATCCCCATTCTACTGCATATCACTTCTCAAGTAAGGGAACTACAGTTAAGAGAACTACAGTTAACTACAGTCTCTCTTACAATATGTAAATGATCTATTAATTTCTAGCCCTACTAGGGAAGACTCTGACAGAAACACAATTCAGCTCCTTAATTTTCTGGGAAAGTGAGGGTGTCAGATATTACCCAACAAGGCCCAGATCTCTGTGAAAAAGGTTAAATATTAGGGGTATGTGCTCACTTCTGAGACAAGAACTTTGGCCCAGGAATTAAAAGAGACCATCCTGTCACTCCAGCCCCCTCAGACTAAGACTCTTTTGGAAAATGGCAGGATTCTGCCAGATCTAGATTCCTAGGTTTGGGATTATACAAAAGGCACTCTATGAATGTTTAAAATGGAGGGACCACAAGCCTTTGAATTCATATGGAACCTTCCAACATCCATTCTCAACCCTAAAGAAAACCTGAAATTAGCTCCTGCTTTGGGAGTCCCTAACATAGAAAATCCTTTCACCTACTATGTGTTTGAAAAACAAGGGATGACTTTGGGCATCCTAACTCAAAGGGTTGGAAATAGCCCTAGACCAGTGGTTTACTTTTATTGAAAGCTAGACCAGATGAAAACTGTATGGCCAGGATGCTTGTGAGCTGTGGCTGCCACCACTCTATCAATAGAAGCCAGTAAGTTTACCTTCGGACAACAATTAGATGTTGCAAACCTTCCACCATGTACAGGGTGTCCTAGAAGCAAAAGGATACCAATAACTAACATGAAGTCACTTACTTAAATATCAAGCTCTTCTGCTTGACACCCCAGGTTTGCCCTTAAAGTATGTTGAGTTTTAAACCCTGCTATCCTGTTTCCAGACTTCACATCCCACGAAATGAATCCCCAACTCATTCAATCCTGTGTAGAAATCATAGGATGGACCAACTCTAACCTCAAAAATGAATCTCTTCCTAATCCCAATATTGAGTGGCTTACAAATGGGAGTGGCGTTATGCATGAGGGAGTAAGAAGGGTCGTTATATGGTAGCTAGCCAATAAGAGATCATTGAGGCAAAAGTTTGCCACCCCAGACTTCAGTGCAAAAGTGGAACTAATTGCTTTAATTAGGGCCCTCCAGTTGGGAAAAGACTTAAGAGTCAATATATTTACCAATTCCAAATACGGGTTTGTATGCTACATGCTCATGCTGCTATATGGAAAGAAAGGAAACTGCTAACAGCTAAAGAATCCCCCATACATCAATCTGAGATCTTCGAACTTTTAGATACTGTCCAGCTCCCAAAGGAGGTAGCAATTATTCATACCAAAAGGCAGACACTTCTATTATCAAAGGAAATGCTCTGGCAAACAGAGCAGCTAAGACCATAACTAAAGCAACACAGGTAGTACAGACCACTGTATTAATGCCAGGTACTCCACCCATGTCAGCAACACCATACTATACCCCTGAGGAAATTAAATGGGCAGAACAGAAAAGTTCACAAAGAATCCCTCAGGATGGTTACTAGGAAGCAACAAACTCTTTCTTCCCAAGGCTGAGCAAATGAAAAATATTTAAGTATTTTCATAACTCCTCACATTTGGAATGGAACTCCCTATTCAAACTGGTTTTTCAAATCTTCTTAGGAAAGAAACTATTCCAGACTGCAAAAAGGGTAACCAGGGTCTGTGAACTTGTGCCCATAATAACCCAGAAAGCCACCACATACTCCCATTCCTACTCAGAGCTGTACAACATTGGGGAACACACCCTTGAGAAGACTGACAAATGAATTTAAATCAGATGCCATTATACAGGAATTAAAAATATTTGTTAATATTTATATACTCTTTCACTGGGTGAATAGAGACATTCCCACAAGGATAGAGAAGGCAATAGAAGTATTCAAATTTTTGTTTAAATTATCCAAAGGTTTGGTTTACATAAAAGTCTGTGGGGTAAAAACTGACCCTCCTTCACAGCTAAAGTGACACAGCAGGCATTCTCGGCCTTAGGTACTGTTTGATGAAGAGATACATAGAATGCTCGCCAATATTATCAACTTAGACCAGGTTCAAAAGGCCCATCAAGCCTATGGAAACAAAATATTTTCCTATCCCACAAGGAAAAGAATTAACCCCCCTATCCAACCCAGGAGACTTAGTCTTGCTAAAAACTTGTAAAGAAGGATCCCCTGAGGATCATTTACAACCAAAATGGAAGGACTCCTATCAGATGTTGTTGAGTGCCCCCACTATTGTTAAACTTCAGGGAATAACTAGTTGAGTACAACTATTTAAGATTAAACCTGTTTGTTATGAGTTGCAGGTACAAAAGAAGGACACCATAATCTACATCTATGAGGCCTTGGAGGACTTCTGCTACCTATTTTTAAATAAAATTTATTCTTTTAAGAATAAATACCCAGACAGGAGTGGTAATGTGATGCTGTAGGAAGGAATAGGAATTTAATTTTTCTCTTCTTCCTGATTATAATACTTCTTTTCTGTCGCTTTAGCCAACTTCTTGGGAAAGACCTTTTTTGTCCTTCTTGGGTGTAGATGCCACTCTAAGGCTCAACCAGATGCCATGTTGTCATTGTTTGTCCTGTTTGCTCTTCTGATTACCTGATCAACTGGGGGTGGGAACATAACTCTATGGTAAATATTTCAAAAATCATAGCATCATTTTGCTGGATTTGTAATCAATATCCTCGAGACAGAGAATTCTATCTTTGGGCTTGCCTAGAAAATCATATGACCATCCCCCGCAACCCTATAACTCACCATAGAAATCCTGAAATACCCAAACCCCTACATGTTAAGTGAAACTCTCTCCCACTTAATGGATTCCACCTGGACATCCACAATCACTATTACCTGGACCTGGGAGGTTGAGTGTCTATATCTCTGTTGCACTAATGATTCTACCTTTTGCTCCCACTGTTGTGTTAATGATACAAAACTGGAAGCTTTCCTGTGATGCTCTGATCCAACTTTAGTTGCCAAGCTCCCAAAGCCACAATAAGGTAAATGGGATCCTACTTGTAAGCAAGGAGACCATATATTAGGGCCTTCTCCTGGATCAGAACATACAAGGAAAAAACAGCTGCCTGGTATGGGAAGGTGGAAACACTGCCCCCTTCTGGAAAACAAAGATTGTTCAGCCACTCCCATTGGAACAGGAGAAAAAATATCTCTATAGGCCCGACTTGGCAGCAAAGGATAAACATCACACACAGTAGGGCCTCTGTGTCCCAACTGGGCTTATTTTTGTTTGTGGCCATGAATGGGAAGAAGTCACATGCTGTAACTGCTGTCAACTCCACAGGCAGCCACCTGTTCTTCTGGGAGTAGCTTTCCCTTGTATATTGTAAAGTTGGAACAGAGGTGAATGTTTGTTGACCACCCTTTCCCCTCCAGGAGTCACTTTATATAACCCCATAAGAGCCAAGAAACAAGCAATAGGGTTAATTCTGGCAGGAATTGGGGCAGTAATAGAATTAGCAGCACCCTTGGTAAACCCTAAAGAACTTGACTCAAACCCTAGAGTTCTTAGCCATCAGCACAGGTCAGGCACAAAAAGGAATTCAAGAATCTTTAGACTATTTGACAAATGTAGTTCCTGATAACAGACTAGCATTGGATTATTTACTAGTGGAACAAGGTGGAGTCTGTGTACATATTAACCTGCTCTACATATATTAACAACTCTGGACAAGTTGAGATTAACATTCAAAGATCTATGAGTAAGCTACCTAGTTACACAGATATAACAAGGGCACTAATTCCAACTATTTCTGGTTGACTATCAAAAGTGCCTTCCCAGGTCTCATATGTTTTTTAACTTTTCTGGGACCTTTAATAGCTGTCTTGTTGTTACTAATTTTTGGCCCTTGCTTGTTTAATCTCTAAGTAAAGTTTGTGTCTTCTAGATTACAACAGTTTCAGGTAAAGACAATGCTGGCATAAGCCTTCCAACCCATCCTGCCTGCTCACCCAGAGAATGAAAGGATCCTGCCTCTGGGCCCCTTATATCAGGTATTCAGAGGTTTTTACTCCTCCAATGCTAGGCAGGTCCTATGCCCACAAACTCAGCAGGAAGCAGTTACAGAATACAGACTTCTGCCCTTCTTCACCTCCCTTAAGATTAAGGAGGGGTATCTATTGTCTGAGTAGGGAATGAGATAGGAGGCAAGACTCAACTCTAGAGGTGGGGCTCAGACACTGGACCAAATGGAGGACTAGCTAAAACAGAAATGGTGCAGAAGAAGCTTTCTGTAATACACACTCACTAGTGTGCCATGTCAGTTTACCATTGCCATGGCAACACCTGGGAGTTACTGTCACTTTCCATGGCAATGACCTGATGACTCAAAAGTTATCATCATTTTCCTAGAAATTTCTGCATAAACTACCCCTTAATGTATCTTTAATTAATAATAGGTATAAATATGACTGCAAAACTGCCCTGAGCTGCTATTCTCAGCACACTGCCTGTGGGGTAGCCCTCCTCTGTAGGAGCAGTAACAGAGCTGTAACATGGCTGGAACTATAACACTACTGCTTCAATAAAGATGTTCTTCTACCCTAACAACAGATCACCACTGAATCATTTCTTGGAAATCCAAGAATCGTCATAGGCTAAGCCCCAATTTGGAGCTCACCTGTTCTGCATCAAGAGGGGCTAGAAGTAGTGATAGTCTCAATAGCAAGCACATTTATGGCATAGATTATGGTTTTGAAAGATATTCTCCAATAAATGACTGACTGGTTGATTCTGGGGCTGGAGAAGGAAAAACAGAAAATGGGCACCTGATGCATCTTGTGGTGATGAATGTAAAAAGAAATGCTCAACAACAACAACAACAACAAAAGGATGGGTCAGGAATGTTGAAAGGTCACAAGGACCAATCTGAAAGAGATTCTAATGGCCAAAGTTGGAACAATTTGAGCGACAAACAAAATAAAGGTAAAATATGACTAATACCCAAAGAATATAATAAATATCTATTAGTCTGTTTTTATAAACAGATAATAAAATAAATGGAGGTGTAAAAACAACTGTTTCTTATAAATAATTCCAATTAATAAATATAAGAAGGAGTGAGGAATTAGAAAATCACCATTAGAATATTACAGTATGAATTACTGTAGGCAAAATCAACCGAAGAATGCTAATATTAGTGTGCAAATTTTAAGCAGAAATAGAATATTGCATACTTTATTTCCCCCAAATATTTAGTAACTACAAAGAGAAAAAATTACAGTGGGTAATAGTCATGGACACCACCTTATCCAGATGATGAAGATTATCACCCATAATACATATCAAGATGACATACCCATTGATATAAACACAGAGAAGGGCAGATAAACACTGTAACCTTTCCTGTATAATGCACCTCAGTCTAATCATGAGAAAACATCCAAAGAGCCTCAATTGAAGGGTATTAACCAAAATCACTAGCTAGTACTGTTCAAAAACCTCAAGATCAAAAAAGACCAGAAAAGACTTAAGAACTGTCATAATTAAAGGAAACTAAGAAGACATGAGATACTATAACATGAGATAATGGATTAGATCTGGAACAGAAAAAAGGACGATAGTAACAAAACTAGTGAGATCTTAATAAATTCTTATCAAGTTAATTTAGTCAATAGTATTATACCAAGGTTTATAACCAAAATGTAAAAAGTAAAAATAAGGGAAAGCTCAGTGAAGACCAAAAACACTCTATTATTTTAACAATTATTTTGTAAGTCCAAAGTTATCTAAAAATAAGAAGTTTATGCTATGGTTTGGATATGATTTGTTTGGCCCTACCGAGTCTCATTTTGAAATGTAATCCCAGTGTTGGATGTGGCGCCTGGTGGGAAGTGTGTGGGTCATGAGGGCAGATTTCTTATGAATAGCTTGGTGCCATTCTTGTGGGTGTGAGTGAGTGCTCACTCTTTGTTCCCATGAGAACTGGTTGTTGAAAAGAGCCTGGCACCTACTCTGCTTTCTCTCCTGGTTCCCCTCTCTCCATGTGATTTCTGTACATGCAGCTTCCCTTTGCCTTCCACCATGAGTGGAAGCAGCCTGAAGCTCTCTCCAGCAGTAGATACTGGTGCTATGCTTCTTGTATAGCCTGCAGAACTGTTTGCCAAATAAAACTTTTTTTCATAAAATAGGTAGCACCAGATATTTAGCACAGACCTAAAATAGTTTAAACCATGAAAAAATCTTAAAAAGGAGTGCCTAGGTAAAAAATGACAAGAATTTTGAATTTTTGCCATAATAATAATTTGTTATAAACAGTTATTTGTTATAAATAATGTTAGCACAAACTTACCAAAAATCAAATATAAATTTGGCAATTTTATTTTTCCATCCTTTTACTTTCAACCTAAGTTTTATCTAAAGTGAGTTTCTTTTATAGAGCATGCAGTCGTATCATATTTTTTAATCCATTCTGCCAATCTCTGTTTTTTATTGGTATTTTTAGACTAATTACATTTAAGATTATTGTTTTTATGCTAGGGCAGAAACTGGTTATATATTTTTATTTTTTTTATTTGTTTCTTTTATTTTCTTTGCTCTGTTTATTACATTCCTGTGAGTTACTTGGAACATTTTTAGAATCCTATCTTTTTTTTTCTTTCCAACTTTTAAGTTCAGGGGTACATGTGCAGGATGTTCAGGTTTGTTACACAGATAAATGTGTACCACGGTGGTTTGCTGCACAGATCATCCCATCACCCAGGTACTAAGCCAGGCATCTATTATCTATTCTTCCTAATGCTCTCCCCCTTCTTACCCCCGACCCCATGACAGGTCCCAGTGTGTGTTGTTCCACCCTATGTGTCCATGTGTTCTTATCATAGAATCCCATCTTGACATGTATAGTGCTTTTGACTATATTGCTCTATATTATATTCTTGGTGGTTGCTCTAGGTATTGCAACATGCATACCTAAGTTATCAGAGTCCACTGGCAGCAACTTTGAGTCTAGGGTAAAAACTTTCTAGCACTTAGGTCCCATTTCCCTCCCCACTTTATAAATATAATTGTCTTATGTTTTTCTCTATATACACTGAGCACTACATTCAGATAGTATTGTAATTTTTCATTTAATTATCAAGTGATCTAAGAAACTCATGACAATTAGTAAAGTTATTGTATTTATCCCATTTTTTTGCCCATTCTGATGTCCCTTGATTTTGGAACTTTTAAACCTTATTATCTTGTCATTTTCATTTCTTAACAATAATCTTAGCTATTTTAAATATTTCATATCTACAAAAAATTGCAAGAATCAAACTATGAGCACTCATACTGTTCTATGCTCACCGATTTTCAACATTCTGTTATATTCACAATTTCATTTTCTCTCTGTGTGCATACACAGAGCAGTGCATGTGTGCTTGTGTGTGTGTGTGCACTTTTAAATTATTATTATTATTTTTTACTTCTTCATTTTTTTTTTGAGACAAAGTCTCACTCTGTCACCCAGGCTGGAGTGCAATGGGTTGATCTCGGCTCATGGCAACCTCCACCTCCTGGGTTCAAGTGATTCTCCTGCCTCAGCCTCCCAAGTAGCTGGGATTACAGATATCTGCCACCACACCCTGCTAATTTTTGTATTTTTAGTAGAGATGGGGATTCACCGTGTTGGTCAGGCTGGTCTCGAACTCCTGATCTCAGGTGATCCACGTGCCTCGGCCTCCCAAAGTGCTGGGATTACAGGTGTGAGCCACTGAGCCAGGCCTACTTCTTTATTTTTAATGGTGGAAAAATTACACGTAACAGGAAATTTAACATTAATCACTTAACATGTACAATTTAGTCGTGCTAAGTACATTAATACTGTTGCAATCAACCATCAGATCTCTTTTTATCTTATGAAATGGTAACTCTATATTCATCAAGCCACTTCCTATCCCCATCTCCACCCGGTATTTACCTTTCTGTGACTGACTTATTTAACTTAGCCTGATGTCTTCAAGTCTCATCCATATTGAAGACCATAAGAAATCCTTTTTTAAGGTTAAATAATATTTCATTGCATGTATATACCACACTTTGCTTATCCATTCATTCATTAATACATGTGTGAGTTGATTCCATATTTTAGCTATAGTGAATTATGCTGCTATGAACATAGTTGTAAAAATAACTCTTTAATACATGGCTTTGAAATCTTTTGGTTTTATGCCCTAAAATAGAATTGCAGGATTATATGGTAATTATATGTTCAGAGATTTATTTGAGAAACAACCATACTGTTCTTCATAGCAACTGCACCATTTTTCATTTTCACCAACAACGTACATCGGTTCCAATTATTCCACGTTCTCAACAATTATAGTTTTCTGTTTTTTATTTTTATTTTTTATTATACTTTAAGTTCTGGGGTACATGTGCAGAACGTGCAGTTTTCTTACATAGGTATACACGTGCCATGGTAGTTTGCTGTACCCATCAACCCATCATCTACATGAGGTATTTCTCCTAATGCTATCCCTCCCCTAGCTCCCCACCCTCTCACAGGCCCCAGTGTGTGATGTTCCCCTCCCTGTGTCCATGTGTTCTCATTATTCAACTCCTACTTATGAGTGAGAACATGGCGATGTTTGGTTTTCTGTTCTTGTGTTAGTGTGCTGGGAATGATGGTTTCCAGTTTCATCCAAGTTCCTGCAAAGGACATGAACTCATCCTTTTTTATGGCTACATAGTATTCCATGGTGTATATGTGCCACATTTTCTTTATCCAGTCTATCATTGATGGGCATTTGGGTTGGTTCCAAGTCTTTGCTGTTGTGAATAGTGCTGCAATAAACATACATGTGCATGTGTCTTTATAGTAGAATTATTTATAATCTTTTGGGTAAATAACCAGTAATGAGATTGCTGGGTCAAATGGTATTTCTGATTCTAGATCTTTGAGAAATCGCCACACTGTTTTCTACAACGGTTGAACTAACTTACACTCCCACCAACAGTCTAAAAGCATTCCTATTTCTCCACATCCTCTTCAGAATCTGTTGTTTTCTGACTTTGTAATGATCGCCATTCTTTTTTTTTTTTTGCATATACACATATTTATTTGCTATATGTAACATACAACCATAAAATACATACAAATTTATGGATTTACTTATATATAATTTTACACACATGTACATCTTACATCATTTTTACCATATTGTATATCAGGTTTTGTATAATGCTTTTTTTCATTCACATTATATGCATTTTTTCATGTCATTAAAATTCACAGAAAGCATAATTTTGTTGGCTACATATTATTGTCATACAACATTTATTTATTTATTTATTTATTTATTTATTTATTTATTTATATAGATTGTGGTTAAAAAGCACAGAACATGAAATTTACCCTTTTAACCGATTTTTTTTATTTTATTATTATTATACTTTAAGATTTAGGGTACATGTGCACAATGTGCAGGTTAGTTACATATGTATACATGTGCCATGCTGGTGTGCTGCACCCATTAACTCGTCATTTAGCATTAGGTATATCTCCTAAAGCTATCCCTCCCCCCTTCCCCTACCCCACAACAGTCCCCAGAGTGTGATGTTCCCCTTCCTGTGTCCATGTGTTCTCATTGTTCAATTCCCACCTATGAGTGAGAATATGTGGTGTTTGGTTTTTTGTTCTTGCGATAGTTTACTGAGAATGATGATTTCCAATTTCATCCATGTCCCTACAAAGGACATAACTCATCATTTTTTTATGGCTGTATACTATTCCATGGTGTATATGTGCCACATTTTCTTAATCCAGTCTATCATTGTTGGACATTTGGGTTGGTTCCAAGTCTTTGCTATTGTGAATAGTGCTGCAGTAAACGTATGTGTGCATGTGTCTTTATAGCAGCATGATTTATAGTCCTTTGGGTATATACCCAGTAATGGGATGGCTGGGTCAAATGGTATTTCTAGTTCTAGATCCCTGAGGAATCGCCACACTGACTTCCACAAGGGTTGAACTAGTTTACAGTCCCACCAACAGTGTAAAAGTGTTCCTATTTCTCCACATCCTCTCCAGCATCTGTTGTTTCCTGACTTTTTAATGATTGCCATTCTAACTGGTGTGAGATGGTATCTCATTGTGGTTTTGATTTGCATTTCTCTGATGGCCAGTGATGGTGAGCATTTTTTCATGTGGTTTTTGGCTGCATAAATGTCTTCTTTTGAGAAGGGTCTGTTCATGTCCTTTGCCCACTTTTTGATGGGGTTGTTTGTTTTTTTCTTGTAAATTTGTTTGAGTTCATTGTAGATTCTGCATATTAGCCCTTTGTCAGATGAGTAGGTTGAGAAAATTTTCTCCCATTTTGTAGGTTGCCTCTTCACTCTGATGGTAGTTTCTTTTGCTGTGCAGAAGCTCTTTAGTTTAATTAGATCCCATTTGTCAATTTTGGCTTCTGTTGCCATTGCTTTTGGTGTTTTAGAAATGAAGTCCTTGTCCATGCCTATGTCCTGAATGGTAATGCCTAGGTTTTCTTCTAGGGTTTTTATGGTTTTAGGTCTAACGTTTAAGTCTTCAATCCATCTTGAATTAATTTTTGTATAAGGTGTAAGGAAGGGATCCAGTTTCAGCTTTCTACATATGGGTAGCCAGTTTTTCCAGCACCATTTATTAAATAGGGAATCCTTTCCCCATTGCTTGTTTTTGTCAGGTTTGTCAAAGATCAGATAGTTGTAGATATGCAGCGTTATTTCTGAGGGCTCTGTTCTGTTCCACTGATCTATATCTCTGTTTTGGTACCAGTACCATGCTGTTTTGGTTACTGTAGCCTTGTAGTATAGTTTGAAGTCAGGTAGCGTGATGCCTCCAGCTTTGTTCTTTTGGCTTAGGATTGAATTGGCGATGTGGGCTGTTTTTTGGTTCCATATGAACTTTAAAGTAGTTTTTTTCCAATTCTGTGAAGAAAGTCATTGGTAGCTTGATGGGGATGGCATTGAATCTATAAATTACCTTGGGCAGTATGGCCATTTTCATGATATTGATTCTTCCTACCATGAGCATGAAATGTTCTTCCATTTGTTTGTATCCTCTTTTATTTCATTGAGCAGTGGTTTGTAGTTCTCCTTGAAGAGGTCCTTCACGTCCCTTGTAAGTTGGATTCCTAGGTATTTTATTCTCTTTGAAGGAAAAGAGGAAGTAATGATCTTCTTTCTAACTGGCGTGAGATGCTATCTCATTGTGGTTTTGATTTGCATTTCTCTAATGAGCAGCGATGATTTTTTTTTCATATGCTTGTGGGCTGCATAAATGTCTTCTTTGGAGAAGTGTCTGTTTATATCTTTTGCCCACTTTTTGATGGGATTGTTTGTTTTTTCTTGTACATTTCTTTAAGTTCTTTGTAGATTCTGGATATTAGCCCTTTGTCAGATGGACAGATTGCAAAAATTTTCTCTCATTATGTAGGTTGGCTGTTCACTCTGATGATAGTTTCTCTTGCTGTGCAAAAACACTTTAATTAGATTTCATTTTTCGATTTTGGATTTTGTAGCCATGGTTTTTGTTGTTTTAGTCATGAAGTCTTTGCCCATGCCTATGTCCTGAATGATATTGCCTGGGTTTTCTTCTAGGGAAATGGAAAGCAAAGAAAAAAAAAAAAAAAAGGAAAGCACGGGTTGCAATCCTAGCCTCTAATAAGAAATACTTTAAACCCACAAAGATCAAAAGAGACAAGGGGATTACATAAAGGTAAAGGGATCAACACAACAAGAAGAGCTAACTATCCTAAATAAATATGCACCCAATACAGGAGCACCCAGATTCATAAAGCAAGTTCTTAGAGACCTAGAAAGGCACTTAGACTCGCAAACAATAGTAGCAGGAGACTTTAACACCCCAGTGTCAATATTAGACATATCAACAAGACAGAAAATTAACAAGGATATTCAGGACTTGAACTCAGCTCTGGACCAAGCAGACCTAATAGACAATTACAGAACTTTCCAACCCAAATCAACAGAATATACATTCTTTTCAGCACCTCATCACACATATTCTAAAACTGACCACATAATTGGAAGTAAAACACTCCTCGCAAATGCGAAATAACAAAAATCATAACAAACAGTCTCTCAGACCACAGTGCAATCAAATTAGAACTCAGGATTAAGAAACTCACTCAAAACCACACAACTACATGGAAACTGAACAACCTGCTCCTGAATGACTACTGGGTGAATAATGAAATCAAGACAGAAATAAATAAGTTATTTGAAACCAACGAGAACAAAGACACAACATACCAGAATCTCTGGCACACAGCTAAAGCAGTGTTTAGAGGGAAAATTATAGCACTAAATGCCCACAGGAGAAAGCAGGAAAGATCTAAAATTGACACCCTAACATCACAATTAAAAGAACTAGAGAAGCAAGGGCAAACAAATTCAAAAGCTAGTAGAAGACAAGAAAAAACTAAGATCAGAGCAGAACTGAAGGAAATAGAGACAACAAAACACCCTTCAAAAAATCAATGAAGCCAGGAGCTGGTTTTTTGAAAAGATCAACAAAATAGATAGACTCCTAGCCAGACTAATGAAGAAAAGAGAGAAGAATCAAATAGATGCCAAAAAAAAAATGATACGGGGGATATCACCACTGAGCCCACAGAAATACAAACTACCATCAGAGAATACTATAAACACCTCTACACAAATAAACTAGAAAATCTAGAAGAAAGGAATACATTCCTGGACACATACACCCTCCCAAATCTAAACCAAGAAGAAGTCAAATCCCCGAATAGACCAATAACAAGTTCAGAAATTGAGGCAGTAGTTCATAACCTACCAACCCAAAAAAGTCCAGAACCAGATGGATTCACAGCCAAATTCTACCAGAGGTACAAAGAGGAGCTGGTACCATTCCTTCTGAAACTATTCCTAATAATAGCAAAAGAGGGAATCCTCCCCAACTCATTTTATGAGGCCAGCATTATCCTGAAACCAAAACCTGGCAGAGACACAACAAAAAAAGAAAATTTCAGGCCAATATCCCTGATGAACATCGATACAAAAATCCACAATAAAATACTGGCAAACCGAACCCAGTAGCACATCAAAAAGCTTATTCACCATGATCAAGTGGGCTTCATCCCTGGGATGCAAGGCTGGTTCAACATACACAAATCAATAAACGTAATCCATCACATAAACAGAACCAATGGAAAAAAACACATGATTATCTCAATAGATGCAGAAAAGGCCTTTAACAAAATTCAACAGCCCTTCATGCTAAAAACTCTCAATAAACTAGGTGTTGATGGAACGTATCTCAAAATAAAAAGAGCTATTTATGACAAACCCACAGCCAATCTCATACCAAATGGACAAAAACTGGAAGCAATCTCTTTAAAAACCGACACAAGACAAGGATGCCCTCGCTCACCACTCCTATTCAACATAGTATTGGAAGTTCTGTCCAGGGCAATCAGACAAGAGAAAAAAATAAAGGGTATTCAAATAGGAACAGAGGAAGTCAAATTGTCTCTGTTTGCAGATGACATGATTTTATACTTAGAAAACCCCATCATCTCAGCCCAAAATCTCCTTAAGCTGATAAGCAACTTCAGCAAAGTCTCAGGATACAAAATCAATGTGCAAAAATCACAAGCATTCCTATGCAACAATAACAGACAAATAGAGAGCCAAATCATGAGTGAACTCCCATTCACAATTGCTATCAAGGGAATAAAATAGCTAGGAATCCAACTTACAAGGGATGTGAAGGACCTCTTCATGGAGAACTATAAACCACTGCTCAAGGAAGTAAGAGAGGACACAAACAAATGGAAAAACATTCCATGCTCATGGATAGGAAGAATCAATATCATGAAAATGGCCATACTGCCCAAAGTAATTTATAGATTCAATGCTATCCCCATCAAGCTTCCATTGACTTTCTTCACAGAATTGGAAAAAACTACTTTAAATTTCATATGGAACAAAAAAAGAGCCCACATAGCCAAGACAATCCTAAGCAAAAAAAAAAAAAAAGCTGGAGACATCATGCTACCTGAAACAAATTATACTACAAGGCTACAGTAACCAAAACAGCATGGCTGGCACTGGTACCAAAACAGATATATCAACCAAAGGAACAGAACAGAGGCCTCAGAAATAACACCACACATCTACAACCATCTGGTCTTTGACAAACCTGACAAAAACAAGCAATGGGGAAAGGGTTCCCTATTTAATAAATGGTGTTGGGAAAACTGGCTAGCCCTATGCAAAAAACTGAAAATGGACCCCTTCCTTACACCTTATACAAAAATTAACTCAAGATGGATTAAAGATTTAAACGTAAGACCTAAAACCATAAAAACCCTAGAAGAAAACCTGTTTTCTGTTTTTTAATAGTACTTATCCCAATATGTATATGGTAGTATCTCATTGTGGTTTTGATTTGCATTTCCCTGATGATTAGTTAAGAATCTTTTCATGTACTTCTTGGCCATTTGTATGTCTTTTTTTAAAAAAAAACAGTTATTCATGTCTTTTGACCATTTTTTAAATTTGGTTGTTTGATTTTTGTTGTTGAGGTGCAGGAGTTCATTGTATATTCTGAACATTAATTTCTTATCAGATATTTAATTTGAAAATACTTCATTTAATTTCATAGGTTGCATTTTTAATCAGTTGACTATGGTTGTTGATGTACGAAAGTTTTTAATTTTTCTGTGGTCCAATTTAATGTTATTGTCAGTATTTTTGTGTCATATTCAAGAACACATTGCCAAATCTAATGTCATGAGCTTTTCCCCTGTCTGCTTCTACAATATTTATAATTTAGTCCTTATATTTAGGTCTCTCATTTACTTTGAGTTAAGTTTTGCATATCTTTACTTTACTTATCTTTAAATGTTCAACATCATTTATTTGCATGTGAAGATCCAGCTTTCCCAAAACCATTAATTGAAAAGAGTGTCCTTCTCTCATTTAATGTCATGACACCTTTGTTAAAAAATATTTAACCAGATATACAAGGCTCTATTTCTGGGCTCTCAATTCTATCCCGTTGGTCTTTATGTCTGTATTCATGCCAGTACCACTGTTTTGATTACTGTAGCTTTGTAATAAGTTTTGAAAGCAGGAATTATGATACCTTCAGCTATTCTTTTTTCACCATCATTTGGGCCACACAGGATCCCATGAGATTTCATATAAATTTTAGGATGGATTTTTTTATTTCTGTAAAAAATGGTACATTGAAGTCTCCTTCTATTATTGTAAATCTGTCTGTTTCTTACATCAGTTCTAACTTTGCCTAATGTATTTAGAAGCTCCAATGTTTGGTACATGTATAATAATGATTGTTACATCTTATTGGTAAATTGGTTATTTTACCATTATATAATATTTCTCATTGTCACCTAGTACAGATTTTTTATTTAAAATCTACTTTGCATTATGTTAGCATGGCCACCCCTGCTTTCCTTCTGTTGTGATGTTCATGAGATATTATTTTATATCCTTTCATTTTCCTTTCTTTCAGCTTTATTAAGGTAAAATTGACACAGTAAAAATTGTACATATTTAAGGTGTACAATGCAGTGATTTTATATATATATATATACATATATATGTATATATATATACATATATATATGTATATATATATATATACATATATACCTTGTGAAATAATTTAAAAATAATGCTAATTAACACACCTTTTGAGTTAGCATAGTCACTACCTTTCTGGGGTGAGAATGCTTAAAATATTTCTTCCCAAATTTTAAGTATACAATAAAATATTTTTAACTGTTTTTATCATGCTGTACATAAGACCATCAGAACTTATTTATCTGATGCTGAAAGTTTATTAACTTTGACCAACATGTTTTCCTCTGTTCCACCTTTCAGCCACTGGCAACCATCATTCTACTCTCTGAATCTATGAGTTCAAATTCAACATATAAGTGAGATCATACAATACATTTGTGTGTATGTCTGGCTTGATTCACGTGGTCCAATACTCTCCAGGTTTATCTATGCTGCTGCAAATGGTAGAATTCCCTTTTATCTGGCTGAATAATATTCATATATATATAACTTTTCTTTATCCATTCATTCATCAATGACGTCTAGTTTGATTTTATATCTAGGCTATTGTGAATAATGTTGCAATAAACATGGAAGTGCAGACATCTCCTCTAGATCCAGATTTTATAAATATACATGTATACATATATATTTATGTATATTATATATTATATATAAAATATTATAAATATATTATATATTTATATATCATACATATTTATTTATATTTATATATTTTAAATATATCTATAGATAGATACACACACACACACACACACACACAGAATTGGAATTGCTAAATTATATGTTAGTTCTATCTATGTTATTATTTTGAGAAATCTCCACACTGTTTTACATAATAGGTAATATATATTCCCATAATAGTGAACTAGGGTTTCTCTTTTTCACACCTTTGCCAACTCTTGCTTTCCTTTGTCTTTTTGATAATTCTCATTTTAAGATGTGTGAAGTGTTATTTCATTATGGTTTTGATTTGAAATTTCCTTATTATTAGCGATGTTGAGTTTTGTTTTATATACCTGTTGTCCATTCGTATGTCTTTCATGGAAAAATGTCATTTAGGTAATTTGCCCATTTAGTAATCAGGTTATTTGTTTATAGGTTATTGAGTTTTATGAGTCCCTTATATATTTTAGATGTTAATCTCTTTTTAGATATATGGTTTGCAAATATTTTCTCCCACTCCATATGTTCCCTTTTCATTTTGTAAATAGTTGTTTTATTTATTTATTTATCTATTTATTTATTTTGCAATGCAGAGACTTTTTTGATGTAGTGTCATTTGTTTATTTTTGTTTGTGTTGCCTGTGCTTTTATATTATATCCAAAAAACCATTGCGGAGACTAATGTAAAAAAGCCTTATCTCAAAGTGTTTTTTAGAATTTTCATTGTTTCAAGTCTTACATTTAAGTCTTTAACTCATCTCATATGTAAGATAAGGATTCATTTTAATTCTTTTGCATGTTGGTAGCCAATTTTCCCAACATCCTTTATAAAAGGGGCTATCCAGATTTATAGATGAATGGAACAGAACAGAGGCCTCAGAAATAATGCCATGCATCTACAATCATCTGAACTTTGACAAACCTGACAAAAACAAGCAATGGGGAAAGGATTCCCTATTTAATAAATGGTGTTGGGAAAACTCACTAGCCATATGCACAGAGTTGAAACTGGATCCCTTCCTTACACGTTATACAAAAATTAACTCAAGATGGATTAAAGACTTAAACGTAAGACCTAAAATCATAAAAACCCTGGAGGAAAGCCTAGGCAATACCATTCAGGACATAGGCATGGGCAAAGACTTCATGACTAAAACACCAAAAGCAATGGCAACAAAAGCCAGAATTGACAATTGGGATCTGATTAAATTAATAAGCTTCTGCACAGCAAAAGAAACTATCATCAGACTGAACATGCAACCTACAGAATGGGAGAAAAATTTTGCAATATATCCATATGACAAAGGACTAATATCCAGAATCTACAAGAACTTAAACAAATTTACAAGAAACAAACAAACAAACAAACAACCCCACCAAAAAGTGGGCAAAAGATATGAACAGACACTTTTCAAAAGAAGACATTTATGCAGCCAACAAGCATATGAAAAAAAAGCTCATCATCACTGGTCATTAGAGAAATGCAAATCAAAACCACAATGAGATATCATCTCACACCAGTTAGAATGGCGATAATTAAAAAGTAACGAAACAACAGATGCTGGAGAGCATGTGGAGAAATAGGAACGCTTTTACACTGTTGGTGGGAGTGTAAATTAGTTCAAGCATTGTGAAGACAGTGTGGCTATTCCTCAAGAATCTAGAACCAGAAATACCATTTGACCCAGCAATCCCATTACTGGGTATATATCCAAAGGATTATAAATCATTCTACTATGAAGACATATGCACATGTATGTTTATTGCGGCCCTGTTCAAAATAGCAAAGACTTGGAACCAACCCAAATGCCCATCAATGATAGACTGGATAAAGAAAATGTGGCACATATATACCATGGAATGCTATGCAGCCATAAAAATGGATGAGTTCATGTCCTTTGCAGGGACATGGATGAAGCTGGAAACCATCATTCTCAGCAAACTAACACAAGAACAGAAAACCAAACACTGCATGTTCTCACTCATAAGTGGGAGTTGAATAATGAGAACACATGGACACAGGGAGGGGAACATCACACACTTGAGCCTGTCAGGGGGTGGGGGGATAGGGGAGGGATAGCATTAGGAGAAATACCCAATGTAGATGATGGGACGATGGGTGTAGCAAACCACCATGGCACGTGTATACCTATGTAACAAACCTGCACATTCTGCACATGTACTCCAGAACTTAAAGTATAATTAAAAAATTTTTTTTAAATAAAAATTACAACAACAAAAAAAGAGGCTATCCTTTTCCCATAGTGTATTCTTAGTGCCCTTGTCCAAGAAAATTTGACTGTATATGGGTGAGTTTATTCCTGGGCTCTCTATTTTCTTCTGTCGGTCTGTGTGTCTGTTTTTATGATATTACCGTCATATTCTGATTACTTTGGCTTTGTAATACAATTTCAAATCATGAAGTGTGGTTCCCCTAGCTTTGTTCTTGTTATTCATGATTTCTTTGGCTATTCAAGTGTTTAGTATTTCCATACAAATTTTAGAAATTGTTTGTTTCTATTTTTGTGACAAAGCTCTTTGGAAGTTTGATAAGGATTGTATTGAATCTGTAGATTGCTTTGAGTATTATGGACATTTGAGCAATATTAGATTTTCCAATTTATAAGGACAGTATAGCTTTCAATTTATTTGTGTATTCCTCAGTTTCCTTAATCAATATCATATAGTTTTCAGTGTACAGAATTTTCACCTCCATGTTTAAACTTATTCTGAATTATTTCACTCTTTTTGATACCATTGTAAATGTGATTTTAAAAAATATCTTCTTTTAATAATCCATTGTTAGTGTATAGAAATGTAAAAGATCATTGTACATTTATTTTGTATCCTGCAACTAACTTTACTAATTTTTGTTCCAACTTTTTTTTGGTAAATTTGTCAGGGTTTTCTTTACATAAGATTATGTCATTTGCTAACAGAAATAATTTAATGTCTTTCTTTCTGATTTGAATGGTTTTATATTTCATTCTTAAAATGCTGAAACAAAACTAGTTTCATTATGAAAGATAAATATAAAATCAAGGAACAAGCCTATTTTCTAATGAAAATTTACTGTATGTTCTCAAATAAATGGAGTAATGATGGATTTCTTAAAAAACACATCTGGATACTGAATAGCCATATGGAAGAAAGAGAAAATTGGATTTATCCTTTTTTACTATGCAACAAGATAGATTTAAAATAAATCTGATATTTAAAATAATAAAAAATAAAACCTATATTATAGAATAAAAACATGGATGAATTCTGTCACCCCCAAAGAGATAAACTTTTCTAGTTATTATTCAGAATAAAGAACTATGAAGGCAAATATTAATATACTTATTACATTGAATTAAAAACAATATTTTAATTTATAAATACTCTGAGCAATGTGAAAAAACAAATGACAGAATTTGGAAAATATTTACAATTTATATCACCTTCAAAGAGTTAATACTTCTAAGTTGTAAAAGCTTGGTAAAATAGAGAAGAAAGAGGCCAATAACCTTGCAGAAACGTGGTATAAAGCCATGAACAAACATATCACAGAAAAACAAATGCAAATGTCCTTTAAACATATGAAAAGATGCTTAACCCTGTCTATAACAAGAGAACAGCACACCAAAACTGCATGCATGATACTGTTTTTCACCTATTAGGCTGACAAATGTTTACTATTTTGCTACATACATGGCTGAGATTGTGGAGGCAAATACATTCTCACAAACTGCTGTTGGAAACATAATATGTATATTTTCTGTAAATAAAAATACGGCATTATCTAGCAAAATTACGTACACATTGACCATTTTGTTTACGTATCGCATGATTAGGACTGCAGAAAAAATATAACACAAAGATTGAGAAAGTGTAATAATACAAACAATAGAGTACTGAATAACGAGTGAAAAACATAATTGTAATGTGGAAAAAGCAAGGTGTAGAATATCATGTACAGTATGCTAGTATATATCAAAAAGGTATATGTATAATTACTCCATTAAAATATGACCATATATCCATATAAATTATGTGTATGCTATTTTAAGTGGAAGAATAAGATGTTTTATTTTATATTTTTCACCTCTATTCATGTGTAATTGAAAAATAAAAATTGCGTATACTTAAGGTGTAGATCATGTTTTGAATTATATGTGTATATTTAAATAATTACAAAAATCATACTAATTAAGATGTACATCATTTCACATAGTTACCATACTTTTGTTGAGAACACATAAGATGTACTGTTAGTAAATTTCAAGTATATAATACAGTATTATCAACTATACTCAGCATATTCTACATTAGATCTTCAGACCATATTCACCTTTCATATCTGAAACTTTGTACCCTTTGACCAACAACACACAAATTTCCCCATCCTACAGCCGCTGGGAATCATTCTACTTACTGCTTCTATGAGTTCAACCTTTTTAGATTCCATGTATAAGTAAGATTATGCTGTATTTGTCTTTCTCTTCCTGGCTTATTTCACTTAGCATAATGTCCTCCAGGTCCATTCACGTTGTCGCAAATGGCAGAATGTCCTTTTTAAAGGCTGAATTATATTTCATTTATGTGTATGTGTGTGTGTGTGTTTTACATAGTCTTTATCCATTTGTCCATTTATGGGCACAGGTTGTTTTCATATCTTGGCTGTCATGAATAATGCTGCAATAAACATGAGAATGAAGACAACTTTTTGAAATTAAAATTTTATTTCCTCTGGATATTTACACAGAAATGGAACTTTGAATCATATAGTAGCTCTATTTTTACTTTTTTGAGAACCTCCATAATATTTTACATAGTGGTTTACCAATTTACATTTCCATCAATAGTGTACTAAGGTTCTCTTTACACCACGTACTCACCAATACTTATCTTGACTTTTTTATATATAACCCATTCTAAAAGGTTTAAGGTGATAATTTTGTTTTTTATTTGCATTTCCTTGATTATTAGTGATGTTAAGCACATTTTCATATATCTTCTGGCCATTTGTATGTCTGCTTTTAAGAAATGTAGATTAAGGTCTTTTGCCCATTCATTTATTGGATTATTCGTTTTCTCTTGCTATTGAGTTATGTTTCTTACGTATTTTGGATATTAACCTTGTTTCAGATGTATGATTTGCAATTCTTCCCATTCCATAGGTTTACTCTTCACTTTCTTAATTTTTTCCTTTGTTGTACAGAAGGGGTGTAACTTGATCCTATTTAATTTGTCTATTTTTGCTTTTGTTGCCTGTGTTTTTGGTGTCATAATCAAAAAATTAGTGCCCATACACATGTTATGGTGCTGATCTGCTCTATTTTCTTATAATGGTTTTACTTTTTCAGGTATTACATATAAGTCTTTAACCTATTGTGAATTTATTTCTACATATGGTGTAAGACAATGGTCTAAGTTTTTTCTCCTAAATATTAATATCCACTTTTCCCACTACTATGTATTGAAGAGACTGCCCTTTTCTGCATTGTGTCTTCCTAAAACGTTGGTTGAAGATCAGTTGAACACACATGAATGAATTTATTTCTGAAGCATTTTTCCATTAGTCAATATGTATGTTTTTATAGTCCATTATCATACTATTTTTGTTGCTATAGTTTTGTAGTATATTTTCATGTCAGGTAGTGTGATATCACAATATTTGTTCTTTTAGTACAAGCTTGCTTTAGTTATTTGGGGTCTTTTTTGGTTCCATATGAAATTTAGGATTGTTTATTCTATTTCTGTAAAAAAAAACCATTAGAACTTTAATAAAGATTGCATTTAATCTATAAATATCTGTGGATAGTATGCATATTTTAGCAATATTTTTATTTTTAATTCATAAACATGGAATATCTTTCCACTGATATGTGTCTTATTCATTTCTTTTCATCAATGTTTTATAGTACTCGGTGTACAGATTAAGCTCTTTGGTTAATTTTGTTTTGATATTTTTGGAGACTGTTGTATTTGGCATTGCATTATTAATTTCTTTTTCAGATAGTTCATTACTAATGCATAAAAACACTACTTATTTTTTCATGTTGTGTTTTTATCCTACAACTTTAATGAATTTATTATTTCTAACAGGTTTTGTGGAGTCTTTACGGTTTTCTTTTTTCTTTTTTTTTTTTTTTCTGAGACGGAGTCTCGCTTTTTCGCCCACGCTGGAGTGCAGTGGCTCTATCTCGGCTCACGGCAAGCTCCGCCTCCCGGGTTCACGCCATTCTCCTGCCTCAGCCTCCGGAGCAGCTGGGACTACAGGCGCCCGCCACGGCGCCGGGCTAAGTTTTTGTATTTTTAGTAGAGACGGGATTTCGCTGTGTTAGCGAGGATGGTCTCGATCTCCTGACCTCGTGATCTACCCGCCTCAGGCGTGAGCCACCTCGCCCAGCCATCTTTGAGGTTTTCTGTATATAAGAACATGTAATCTGCAGAGATGATTTTATTTCTTACTTTTCTATTTAGATGCCATTTATATTTTTTCTTGCTTAATTTATCTGGCTAAAACCTCCACTACTATACTTAATAGAAGTGACTAAAGTGAGCAACCTTGTCTTGTTACTGATCTTACAGAAAGACCTTTCAGCTATTCAGCATTGAGTATGATGTTAGCTGTGTAATTCTCATATATGGCTTTTATTATCTTGAGGTACATTCCTTCTGTACCTTTTTTGTTGTTGAGAGGTTTTATTGTAAAAGAATGTTGAATTTTATTTTTTTCTGTGTATATTGACATAATCATATGATTTTTGCCTTTCATTGTTTTAAAGTGTTGAATCACATTTATTGATTTACATATGTTAAAACATCCTTGTATTCAAGGGATAAATCCTTATTGGTTATGGTGTATGATCCTTTTAATGTGCTCTTAATTTGTTTTGCTATGCTTTTGTTAAGAAATTTTACATCGATTTTCATCAGGAATATTAACTTGTAGTTTTCTTTTCTCGCAGTATCCTTGTCTAGCTTTCGTATCAGGGTAATACAGGCCTCATAAAATGAGTTAAAAAGTGTTTAGTTCTCAGTTTTTTGGAAGAGTTTTAAAGGATTGGTATTAGCTATTTAAATATTTGGTAAAATTCAGCATTAAAGTTTTCATGTCTTGGGCTTTTCTCTGTTGGGAGGTTTTAGATTAGTAATTCAATCTCCTCACTCATTATTGGTAAATTTATTTTCTGTTTCTTTATGTTTCAGTCTTAGTAGGTTGTATTTTTCTAGAAAGTTACCGATTTCTTCTAGGTTATCCAATATGTTGGCATATAATTGTTTATAGTAATCTACTATGATACTTTGTATTTCTGTAGTATCAGTTGTAATGTGCCCTTTTTCATTTCTGATTTTATTAGTTTGCATCTTCTCTTTTTATATTTTTTTATTTTAAATCTGGGGTACATACGCTTGTTACATGGTATTGGATGTATAATGGTGGGGGTTGGGCTTCTAATGTATCTGACACCCAAATATTGGACACTGCACCAAGTAGATAATTTTTAACTCTCCCTCAACCCTCTCTTCTTTGGAGGCCCCAAAGTTTGTTTTCTTATCTTTATGTTCATGTGTACCTTCTGTTTAGCTCACACTTATAAGTGAGAACATGTAATACTTGATTTTCAGCTTCTGTGTGTGTTCATTCAGAGTAATAGCTTCCAACTCAATCCATATTGCTTCAAGGGACATGATTGTGTCCATTTTTGTGGTTGTGTAGTATTCCATCACATAATATATTCCACATTTTCTTTATCCTATCAACTGTTGGTGGACCCTTAGGTTGTTTCCGTTACTTTGCCATTGTAAATAGTGTTGTGATAAACATATGAGTGCACATGTCTTTTTGATATAATGATTTTTCCCTTTGGGTAGTTACTCAGTAATAAGATTGATGGGATGAATAGTAATTCTATTTTTGGTTCTTTGAAAGATCTCCATTCTGTTTTCCATAGAGGTTAAACTAATTCACCTTCCTACCAACAATGCATGAATATTCCTTTTCTCTGCATCGATGCCACCGTCTGTAGTTTTTTTGACATTTTAATAAAAGTCATTCTGACTGGTGTAAGATAGTATGTTGGTGTGGTTTTATTTTGCATTTCTCTGATTACTAGTGATGTTTAGCATTTTTTATGTTTCCTGTCTGCTTGTGTTTCTTTTTTTGAAAAATATATGTTCATGTCGTTTGCCCAGTTTTTATGGGGTTGTCCATTTTTGTCTTGTTGAATCATTTTAGTTCTTTCCATATTTTAGGTATTAATCCTTTCTCGGAGGCATAATTTGTGAATATTTTCTCCTATTCTGTAGATTATTGATTCTGTTTGTTATTTATTTATTGATTTTTTGCTGTGCCAAAGCTTTTTAATTTGATTAAGTATCATTTGTCTATTTTTGGTCTTGTTGCAATTGCTTTTGGGATCTTGATCATGAGTTCTTTGCCTAGGCTGATGTCCAGAAGAGGTTTTTTCTAAGTGTTTTCTAAGATTTTTACAGCTTCATGTTATATATTTAGCTCTTTAATCCATCTTGATTTAATTTTTGTACATGCTGAGAGATAGGGGTGCACTTTTATTTTGCATATGGCTAGCCATTTTTCACAGGATAATTTATTTAATAAGGTGTCCTTTTCCCATTGTTTACTTTTGTCCATGTTATTGAAAATCAGTTTCTTGTAGGCATGTGGTTTTATTTCTGGGTTCTCTATTCTGTTCCCTTGATCTTTGTGTCTATTTTTGTACCAGTACCCTACTTTTTTAGTTACTATAGCCTTGTAATATAATTTGAAGTCAGGCAATGTGAGGTCTCCAGATTTATCATTTTTTAGGAGTGCTTTGGCTATTCAGGATTTTTTGTTTTATATGAATTTTATTTTAAAAAAAAAATTCTGTGAAAAATGACATTGGTTATTTGATAGGAATTGTATTGAATCTGTAGATTGCTTTGGGTAGCATGGTCATTTTAATAATATTGATTCTTATAATACCTGAGTATGAGGTGAATTTCCATTTATTTGTGACATCTACAATTTCTTCCATCAGTGTTTTGTAATCCTCTTTGTACAGAATTTTCGTCTCTTGGTTAAATTATTCCTAGGTATTTTATTTTTTTTCTGGCTATTGTAAATGGGATTTCATTCTTAATTTTATTCTTAGCTTGAACAATATTGGCGTACAGAAATGCTAGTAATTTGTATACATTGATACTGTATCTTGAGACTTTACTGAAGTTGCTAATCAGATCTAGAGGTCTTCCAGAGGAGTCACTGCAGGTTTCTAGGTATTCAATTATGTCATTAGTGGACAGAAATAACTTGACTTTCTCTTTTCTTATTTTAATACCTTTTTTTTTTCTCTTGCCTGATAGCTCCGGCTAGGACTTTCAGTACTATCTTGAACAGGAGTGCTAACAGTGGGCATCATGCAAAAATGCTTCCAATATCTCCCCATTCAGTACGATGTTGGTTGTGGGTCTGTCATATATGGGCTTGTCTTATTATTTTGTAGTATGTTCCATTTATGCCTAGTTTGTTGAGGGTTTTTATCAGGAAGTGATGTTGGATTTCATCCAGTGCTTTTTTTTCTGAATTTATTGATGTGATTACATGATTTTTGTTCTTAGATCTGTTTATATGGTGGGTCATGCTTATTGATTTGTGTATGTTGAAAACATCCTTGCATCCCTGGAGTAAAGCCCACTTGACTGTGGTAAATTATATTTTTATGTGCTTTTGGATTTGGTTTGCTACTATTGAGGACTTTTCCATTTATGTTCATCAGAGATACTGGCCTGTAATTTTCTTCTTTTCTTCTGTGCTGGCCAATTTTTATATCATTGATACTGGATTCATATAATGAGTTAGGAAGGGATTTAAACTCCTTGAGTTTATGGACTATTTTCACTCAGATTGGGACCAGCTATCATTTGTATGTCGGATAAAATTTGGCTGTGAATCCAACTGGTCCTGGACTTTTTTTGTTTGGAGATTATTTATTACTGATTTGATTTCATTGCTCATTATTGGTCTGTTCAGGTTTCATATTTTTTCCTGGTTCAATCTTGGAAGATTGTACTTTCCCAGGAACTTATTCAATTCATCTAGGTTTTCTAGTTTGTGTTCATAGAGGTATTTCTAGCAGGCTCTGATGGTCTTTTTTATTTTCTGGTGTCAGTTTTATTTATGCCATCTTTATTATTTCTGATTGTATATATTTGAAACTTTTGGTTGTCTCAGTCTAGCTAGTAATTTATCAATTTTGTTTGTCCTTTCAAAAAAAATTTCATTTTTTTAAATCCTTTCTATCTTTTTTTGGTCTCAATCTCATTTAGTTCTGCTCTGATCTTTGGTATTTCCTTTCTTCTGCTAACTTTGGGGTTAGTTTGTTCTTGGTTTTCTAGTTCCTTGAGGAACAACATTAGATTGTTAATTTGAGATCTTTTTATCTTTTGGATGTAGATATAAACTTTCATTTTTAGCACTGCTTTTGCTTTATTCTAGAGGTTTTACTATGTTGTGTTTCTATTTTCATTTGTTTAAAGGATTTTTAAAAAAAATTTTGCCTTGATTTTGTTGTCTACCCAAAAGTCATTCAGGAGCAAGTTGTTTACTTTCCATGTACTTGTGTAGTTTTGAGAATTTCTCTCAGTTTTTATTTCTTATTTTGTTCTGCTGTCATCCAAGAAGGTAACTGATATAATTTCTTTTTTTTTTCATTGAGACTTGCCTGATTGCTAGACATAAGGTCGATTTTAGAGAATGTTCCATGTACAGATGAGAAGATTGCATATTCAGCAGTTGTTGGATAAAATATTCTGTATATGTCTATGTAGGTCCATTCGCTCTACAGAACATTTTAAGAAGTTCAAAGTTTCTTTGCTGATTTTTCTGACTCAATCTTTCTAGTGTTGTCAATGGGGTGTTGAAGTCCCCCACTATCCTCATATTGCTGTTAATTTTTTTCTGAGGTCTGGTAGTATTTGTTTTATAAATACGTATTCTCCAGTGTTGGTTGCATACAGGAGCTAGAAGAAAAATTATTTAGGCAGATAGTGAGGGTAACAGAGTTCTTGGCAGGGCTTCCTTTCTGACAAAAAGCAGCCCAGGAAATTATTTTTTTCCTAATAAAGAGCATATTGCGGGATCTGGCCAGCAGCCCGCAATGCAACGGGGCTCTTTCTTTATCCCCAGGTGGATCGGCAGGTTGAGAAATAAGCTGTTTAATTAATAGCAAAATATTAATCAGCAGTAACAGTTGCAGCAAAAGCTGGTTACAAACAATCCATAGAAACAGGACGTGAAGCTAGACAACCGGTTAGACCAGAAATTCTCAGAAGGGAGTATGCCTTAACCCTAAAGAGACCTAGAAGAGCCGTGGCAAGATGAGGGCATTTATAGCCCTATCTTATCCACATGGACAGGCGCCCCTCATGCGTCCATTTATAGGCTCTCCACAAGGGTCGCATTCCATTCCCAGAGCTATGAACATCTGCTTTTCTGGGATAGGAATCTTGGTGATGTGAAACCTCCCTGACTGCACGTCTGTTCACAGGCTCTCTGCAGGGGGAAGCACATCACATGCTGTTGGCTCATTCTGGCAGTCCAACCTGGCATTGTCTTTACACAATCCTGCATGCAATTTTGTATTTACAGTAATCAGGAGCATTTCATCTTTTATTCTGTAGCAATAGTTTCAGGGGATCACCCTACAAGAGCAGCTTAAAAAATCAAGCTATAAACATAGATAAGCAAGCTGGAAGCTTGCATGGGGAAATGCCGGCAGCTGTGCCAATAGAAAAAGGCTACCTGGCGGCTCGGCATATCCAGCATGGAAACTTCATCTTTCCTTTTCTTTGTTACCAAATGTACAGTAAAGAAACAGGCAACATGGTGCCAGTCAAGTAGAGAATTCATCTGCATAACAAAAGATTAGGGTGGGGGCAGCCAGCTATTTGCACCCTATAGAAATGGCATACCTAGCCCTAACCAGTTTTTCACACCTTATGCAATTGGCACACTTGGTCTGACCAATCTTTCATGCCTTATGTAAATCAGACACTGCCTCCTCAGGCTTATCTATAAAACCTCTGCATTTCACCTCAAAACAGAAACCCGTTTGGGACCCCTCTCTCTGCAAGAGACAGCTCTTCTCTTTCTTTTGTCTATTAAACTTCTGCTCCTAACCTCACTCTTGTGTGTCCATGTCCTAGCTTTCCGTGGCCATGAGACAATGCATCTTGGGTATTTACCTCAGAAAACAACGCTGCTTTAGAACCATAGGAAATGCTTGTCTTGCAACTCTCCATGGGAGTTGTTTTTGGATGGAACCTCTTCACTCATTCTGATACAGATAACTTTATGGTGCTCTTGTTCTCTGATGTGGTGATGATGCTGCTTCATGTAGAGTAGGAGGCTCCACCTTTCAGCCTATGTGGGTGGGTGTTGGTTGTGGTGACGTCAGCTACTTGGCTCAGCTCCACTTTAGGCTATAGGGGAAGTGGCCACATACCAGCAATGCTAGAATGGCCCAGGTAGTTCTACAGTTCCCAGGCCCCTAGATGGCCAACTGGACAGTGTGAATAAGTCCTGAAGGTGCTGGAATAGGGTCAGGTTATCCCAGAGTTCAATTGCTGGCTGTGATGAAAAGGAGTGGACTGGTCCCCAGATCACCAGCAGAAATCTCAGGATGGAACAGGCAGAACACTTAAGCAGAAGGAGTCTGTGGGAAGATCACAGGTCTGTGGGAGTTGGGTTTTCAGAAGGTCTCTGGGCTGCAGTTAAAATGTTCACCAGGGAAGGGCAGCTATAGGCTATAGGCCTTTCACTGAGGAGGGCAAGTCCCCTAAGCTAGGGCAATAGATTGGTGGCTGTCAGGCACATGGCACATTTACACTTCCCTCCCACACAAATAGCACTGGATTTCGCTGTTGGGGGCACACAAAGGTGCCAAGCTTCCTCACACCTGTGCTGGTCTGTGCACGGTAGGGGCAGAAGCAGTGGTAGTGACAACTGCCAAAAGCTTGTTGCTGCCTCCGGGAATTGGTCTCTCAGAGGAACTGTTCTGTGGCCATCGTGTCCAAGTGGGAGTGGGGCAGCTGCACTGTGGGCCAGAAGGTGGCAAGCCCCCATTTGGCAGGGGGCAGCCGAGGTGGGGAGTTGTGGAGCATGCAGCCTGCCCACTACTATTCGATATCTCAGCTGTGGCATCTGTGCTGGAGGCATGCGAAAGTGCTCCCACCTCCTTGTTCTCTCCCTGGCCTGGCAACAGCAGGGGATAGGACAGTGACAGTGGCAATTTTAAAGAACTTGCCAACTACCTCTTAGAGTTATGCACTCAGAGGAACACAGCCATGACCACAGTGATCAGGCAGGGGTGGGGCAACTGCACCGGGGGCCCAAGTCAGCAAGCCCAACCTGGCAAGGAGCAGTGGAGGTAGGGGTCACACAGTATGCAGTCTGGCTGCTCCTCAGTACTATGGCTGTGACATTTATCCTAGAGGTATGCAAAAGTGCTTTGCCTCTCCTCTTTGTGGGGCAACAGAAGCTGGCACTGAGCTGCTTAGAGATCAAAAGCCTGTGAGGTTTCATGTGGGCTTGAGTGTTGCCTCTTCACAGATTCCAGGTGGCTCTCTGTGTCAGTCTGAATGCCTGGGGTTGTCAAGAGGGCTATCCCATGCTCAGCATTGTAAAAGTCTGTGATAGAATTGTGGAACCCCCAGGGGACTCTCACTCACTCACCCTTTTCCCATGTTGAGGAGCTTCCCCCAGCTCCAAGCCAATCCCAGGTGGGCAGCAGCCTGACTTCATGGCTTCACTCCTTTTGGCTATCTGTTGATCCCATTGATTTTCTGGTGAATCCCAGCATAAGCTCTCAGATTATCCATTTAAAGATTTAGTATTTATTTATAACTTTGTTTCTTCTCTATGAGAGAGGCAAATTCTAGCTGCTTCTAGTCAGCCATCTTGAACTGGAACCTCTTTTCTTTTTTGATCTAGTTAAAGGTTTGTCCATTTTACTTAAGTTTTTAGAAAATCAGCTCTCAAATTCCTTGATATTTTCTATTGTTTTGCAGTGTCTATTTCATTGCTTTCTGCTCAGTTCCTTGTTATTTCTTCCATCTTGATGACTTTGAAAATAGTTTGTTTTTCTTTTTCTAGTTCCTTGAGGTATAAAGTGAGGTTCAATATATTTTTTTCTTAATGTATTTGTTTATTTCTATAAATTTCCCCCTGGAACTGCTTTTGTTGCATATCCTACATTTTGGTATGTTGTCTGTCCATTTTCTCTTGTTTCAAGATTTCTAAACAAAATCTTTTATCCCTTAATATTATGCAAACATTTTGTTCAAAAGAGAAAACCAAAATTTTACCTTTGTATTGGGTATGACTAATGTTAAAGTTAATTTTAATAAAACCTTATGACCAAATCTAATTTTAATCTGTCTGACCATAAGGTAAGATTTCCATAAACTTGTATAACCTTTTATAATTTTCTTTTAAAGAGCAGAACAATGCTCCAGTAAAACACTGTTATTGTAATACATGGGTACAGATGCTGGTCTTGCATCAGTGTCCTTTTTTATATTAATGTTTAATTTATAGAGAATCTGTGAACTAATCTTATCCCTCAAGATCAGCCCCTACAATCTCATGAGTCCACCTCTTCCACGATAGTCCCTGGGCCTAGGGGGACTGAATAATTTAGTTACTAGTCTTGTGTCACTAAAGAGAATTTTGAGTGTCACCTTCTCCCAAGTCAGAAGATGAAGCTTTGACTGATGTCAATGATCAAAATTTAACAGTGGTTGGTGCACAAGCATGAGTTAATAGGACATTTATACTATAGAAGTTCCTATCGGCCGGGCGCGGTGGCTCACACTTGTAATCCCAGCACTTTGGGAGGCTGAGGTGGGCGGATCACGAGGTCAGGAGATCGAGACCATCCTGGCTAACACGGTGAAACCCCGTCTCTACTAAAAATACAAAAAATTAACCAGGCGTGGTGGCCGGTGCCTATGGTCCCAGCTACTCAGGATGCTGAGGCAGGAGAATGGCCTGAGCCCAGGAGGCGGAGCTTGCAGTGAGCCAAGATCACACCATTGCACTCCAGCCTGGGCGACAGAGCGAGACTCCATCTCAAAAAAAAAAAAAGAAGGTCCTATCATTTTTCTCTAACATGTTGCAAATTAAAACGTTGTGATTTGGTGTTTAGGAATTACTACCTGCAGTACTTTAAACCAACGTATTAAAGTAGTTAGGTTACTCATTGCATATGTCTACTTGCTAGTATTCTAGTGACAGAACTGTGACCAAAAGCATAAAAAATGTGATAAGTCCTATGATAAACTTATCAAAGTAAGACAACTGATTTTTCTTTCCATCATAAAAAAATGGCAAATGCAAATATCAGTTTTGAAAATTCAATATGAGAAAAAATCTCCTTTCACTTAAATACTATGCAGCAAAACAAGGACAAAGTAAAAACAAGCAACCAATTTATTTTCAGCTATTTTCAAAAGCATATCATCACACATTTCCAAGATTGGTTTCTAGGTACAGTACTGACAGGTAATTAGGTAACTTTAACCACCAAAGTTTTCAAACCATTGCAACACTTGCACATATTTTATTTTCATGTACACACATGAAGACCCATCAGTGATTGACAGCTTGAGATTAAAAAAAAAAATCACTAGAAAGTCTCGCCTTTTTCCGCTACTTAATCCAAATGAATGTCACATTAATTTAATAGTAGTAAACACAACTGAATTAGCTTGAGAGAAATCCTAATCAATATAATTTCCTGAAGAACAAAACCAATATTTCCTGAACATTAAAACTTTTTACCCATATCACAGATTTTTTTCCATCAAAGGAAGAAATATGAAACCAACCCAAACTATTGAAACAGGAAACCATCCCTAAATTTTTCTTACTCAGTCTATGCTGGAGGCTACAGTGTTCCCCTGAGTCCCCAAAAACCCTAATAATGAATATTTTATTCCTGATACACAATTCAATATCCTTAGGTCACCAATATCACCATACATCCTGTGCAATCAAGAAATTCACTCTAAGCACATGACCAGTAAGCACTCCAGTGCCAGCACTATCTATGCAAAACAGTAAACACAGTGTGAAGCAATGCAAACATAAATGTGAAATTTGACCACACTAAATCCAGCTTCATGCTTAAGTATATTAAAAAAGGATTGCCAAAATGCTGATGCATTTCTTTACAATATTTATTATTTTCTTTAATCAAGACTAAGAGCTTTAGCTATGAAAATGTTAATTAGACAAATTTCTTCAATTCTGTATCAGGTTTTAAAGAGTATGTTATTATCTAAATGTTTTCAACTTTCTATTTTCCCTATATGTGCATGAAGATAGACAAACTGAGAAACAGGAAAGATTACATATGACTTACATAGACCATTCCCATCACTCCTGAGCTTTTCATTCAGCCCCAGATTTTCTTCTTCTCCTTCTTCTTCTTTAGATAACCAGACATTTTACTGTAGGACAAAAAAATTTACCATACATGATCCTTTCTCAGACAAAATTATTATCTTTTCTTTATAAACATCTTTACCAAAAACACATCTTCATATAAATAACTTTCTTTACATCTCTCTCCCTTACTTACTGGTTCCTTACTACCTGTTTCATAAATAAGCTTTTCAAATCTGTAATTTGAAGTAACTTTTAGATTTTTTATCCTTTTTTCACTAATAATGTAAGTTTTGGCACATTTTATTTACAGAATGATATATTAACTATAATTCTTATCCTTAGTCACCTTAAATTGTAATGAACCCCTAAAAAACAAAAACTCCTGAACTATCAAATATGAGCTTTTTATAGATAAGAACAATTCCGCAATTTTTAGAAACATATTTTCCCATATCACAACCTTTCTTAATTGGAAATGACCAAGATATAATGCTCCATTTTGTCTAGAAAAATTTCACATTGGTGAAAAAAAAACAAATTTTCAATGGGATGTATTTTTCCAGGTTGAGAAAAATTCAGCATCCATCCTAAATTGCTGTTGGAGTGAGAAGAAAGTGAACTGTAGAGTGAGCTGTCAGCAACTCCCCAAGATCTGAAGGAATCCAACACATGCTCTCCACATTCTGACCTGTGCTGTCAATCATCATTTACCAATAGCCCATTATTTGTATACAATTATCATCTGTTCCCCAGACGTCAGCATTTCGATATAATTTTTGTGGGCTGTAATTTGTCATTATTTTGGAGATATAGAGTAAAGCATTCTCATAGCGGATATATTTCCTCTGTATTGCATATATTCTGGGCTTACAGAGACAAAAGTTTCTTTTTTATATATACCTATGTAATCTACACTTAAGCAACAGAAATATTAAAGTCTTTTAGAAAGAAAACCATTACTTGAGAGACCTCAACTTCCATCCCCTGAAGTTTTATTACTTATAATGGTAAGGCACATAAAGCACATAAGTTAGTCTGTTAGCCCAAGCAAACACTAAACAAGAACAAGCAGAAACATAAAGCTCTCATTCGAGTAAATTGTTCAATTACACAATTATACACTATCAGTTTATTTCTGAAAGGGGAAAATTTCCCTGAGGTACATTATAATTGTTGGCTTAATTCACATCAACTGAGCTGACAGGCCTATAAGGTGTTTTTTTTCCATTTTGAACAAGTCTGCTTTCTGATTTCTAACTTCTTTGATCAAAGTGTCAGGCATGATCTCAATTTAACTCTCCAGTCAAATTAGTTTTCTTGATGCCTTAAAGTGTGTTTTGCTTCAAATTTCCAAGGTCCCCACAGTTTCAGTTTTTTACTTGGAAGATAAAGACTCCTTATATTTATTTTACAAAAAAATTGAGGTAATAATCTACAGGATTATAAAATGAAAAAGAATTGTTCTAAATAATTCAATTGCTTCAATATGTACCTGCGCTTTCATAGTAAAATATGCTTTCATATTACCACTGGTAGTCTTGTCATTCTTTTTTGTTCCCCATTTATGGTATCAGGATGACATTTATTTATATAGCATTTCTTTCCTCAAAAAACATCTAAACATTTTGCAGACATTAGCTTATACATGGAAACTAGAGACATGGAACAAGAAAAAGCATAATGAGATCTATTTGTATACCAAGGACCACTCAGAGCAGAAACTCAACATAGAGCTTCATGATATTAGAGAAAGAAGGGAACTTAGAAATTACTTTCACATTTATAGGTAAGAAACCTGAGGTTTAAAGAGAGTGAGTTGCTTAACCAAGAGCACACAGCAAGTTAGTGGCAATGCTGAGCCCAAAATTTGTATCTTCCAAATCCCACACTATTTATTACCACTAAATTATAATAAGCAAAGGTTTGTAGGATAAGATAAAGGGAAAAGAGAGAGATAAACATATTTATGTTATACCATTTTAGGACACAATCTCAACCAGAACATCAAAGATATTCAATCTTATAAATACTTTGAAGCTGATATGACCATTCACATCCTAACTTTTTAGGCTTGCACTATAGGAGAGAAATAATGCTCTAAGAAGCTCTAGTTACTAGAAAACACTCATAAGGCAGAAGTCATTTAGATAAAGTTGCCATAGTTGCGGGTCACATGTGGCACAGTTGTGTGTCATATGTGGCACGTGGCACATTCATGTATAGCTAAAGTCATGAGTTTACATTAACTTTTAGAGAGGTGAAGTTACCTTTTTCTGCTGTTTGCAGGGAAACTACTGCATTGTTTGAAAAAACAACTAAAATGGAGATTATCTTACCTTCTGGCATGTTAGATAAGCTATGGAAAGAACACAGTAATTAACCCCTGGGCTCATATGTCAGAAATTATTCTTCAAGATCAAGGCTTGAGTAGGTAGAGGGAGCTCCCTGAAAGAAATGTCTGGCAGATATAGGGCTTCCTGCCTATTTTAGAAATTTCACAAGCTACTTATAGTTGCATTCCTCAAACTGTGGAATGTGACACTCTGGAGCATCTTATCAAACTCACAGGTGTTGCACAAGTTATTTAATAATTTTGAAAAAATACAGCATTAGTCAACAGCTGTCACACACATTGTATTACTAGTTCTACTGGTCTGAAATAAATACAGTTTAAACTTTATATCATATTACATTTATTTTGACTATGTCTTTTTTTTGTGAAGCTAGGTTTACTGCAGTTGATGTGACAAAAAGTAAGTACTTAAAGGGATGAGGAGATGGTGGGGAATAGAACAACATAGTTCCTTTGTGGTGATAAAACAGTTTTATATTTTGATTGTGGTTGTAGTTACACAAATATGTACATGTTATAATATTGCACAGAACTATAAATACATATACCAATAAATGCATATAAGAACTGATGAAATCTAATTTAAATCTATAGATTGTATCATTATTACTGGCTTTTGATACTGTACTATTGTTATATAAGATATTACCATTGAGGGAAAACAAGATGATGCTGAGTCATTCATGAGGGGTACACTACCATGATCCACACACCTCCCAACACGCTGCATTTCCAAAACTGGGGATTCCGTTTCAACATTAGATTTTGCAGGGACACGATTCAAACCATATCAGATACCCAACAATATTAGTCATCATGGAATTACAAATCAAAACCACAATAACACAAAACTCTACAACAGGGTGAAGGGTAAACAAGATCTCTATATACTATTTAAAAAAATAAACTTATTGAGATATAATTCACATACTGTACATCATGCCCAATAAATGTACAAGTCAATGCTCTGTAGTGTATGTAGAGTGTTGTGCAACCATTAACACAATCAATTTTAGAACATTTTCAACATGCCAAATAGAAATTCCATACCTTCTAGCTGTTAATCATCAATCTTGTCATTTCCCCCTTTCTAACCAATTACTATTCCAGTTTCTGCCTTTATATTTGTTTGTGTCCTGAAAATTTTGCATAAATTGAATCATACAACATGTGGGCTGTTGTAACTGACTTCTTTCACTTAGCGTTACGTTTTTGAGGTGCATCTATGTTATAGCATGTATAAGAACTTCATTCCTTTTTCTTCCCTAAAAATATTTATTGCACTCTCCCTCTCCCTCTCCCCACGGTCTCCCTCTCCCTCTCTTTCCACAGTCTCCCTCTGATGCCGAGCCAAAGCTGGACTGTACTGCCGCCATCTCTGCTCACTGCAACCTCCCTGCCTGATTCTCCTGCCTCAGCCTGCTGAGTGCCTGCGATTGCAGGCGCGCGCTGCCACGCCTGACTGGTTTTCATATTTTTTTGGTGGAGACAGGGTTTCACTGTGTTGGCCAGGCTGGTCTCCAGCTCCTAACCGTGAGTGATCTGCCAGCCTCGGCCTCCCGAGGTGCCGGGATTGCAGATGGAGTCTCGTTCACTCAGTGCTCAATGTTGCCCAGGCTGGAGTGCAGTGGTGTGATCTCGGCTCGCTACAACCTCCACCTCCCAGCTGCCTGCCTTGGCCTCCCAAAGTGCCAAGATTGCAGCCTCTGCCCGGCCGCCACCCCGTCTGGGAAGTGAGGAGCGTCTCTGCCTGGCCGCCCATCTTCTGGGATGTGAGGAGCCCCTCTGCCCGGCTGCCCAGTCTGGGAAGTGAGGAGCGCCTCTTCCTGGCCGCCATCCCGTCTAGGAAGTGAGGAGCATCTCTGCCCAGCCGCCCATTGTCTGAGATGTGGGGAGCGCCTCTGCCCCGCCGCCCTGTCTGGGATGTGAGGAGCATCTCCGCCCAGCAGCCGCCCCGTCCGGGAGGTGGGGGGCAGCCCCCACCCGGCCAGCTGCCCCGTCCGGGAGGGAGGTGGGGGGCAGCCCCCGACTGGCCAGCCACCCCGTCAGGGAGGGAGGTGGGGGGCACCTCTGCCCGGCCGCCCCTTCTGGGAAGTGAGGAGCCCCTCTGCCCGGCTGCCACCCCGTCTGGGAGGTGTACCCAACAGCTCATTGAGAACGGGCCATGATGAGGTTGGCGGTTTTGTCGAATAGAAAAGGGGGAAATGTGGGGAAAAGATAGAGAAATCAGATTGTTGCTCTGTCTGTGTAGAAAGAAGTAGACATAGGAGACTCCATTTTGTTCTGTACTAAGAAAAATTCTTCTGCCTTGGGATGCTGTTGATCTATGACCTTACCCCCAACCCGCTGCTCTCTGAAACATGTGCTGTGTCCACTCAGGGTTAAATGGATTAAGGGCGGTGCAAGATATGCTTTGTTAAACAGATGCTTGAAGGCAGCATGCTCGTTAAGAGTCATCACCACTCCCTAATCTCAAGTACCCAGGGACACAAACACTGCAGAAGGCCCCAGGGTCCTTCTGCCTAGGAAAACCAGAGACCTTTGTTCACTTGTTTATCTGCTGACCTTCCCTCCACTATTGTCCTATGACCCTGCCAAATCCCCCTCTGCGAGAAACACTCAAGAATGATCAATAAAAAATATACATATATATATATATATAAGTTATTTATTTATTGCATGGATATACATATTATTTACTCATTTAACAGTTTATGGGCATTTGAATTTTCCTATTTTTGACTATGAAGAATAATGAGGCTTTAAACATTCATACACAAGTTTTGTGTTGGCATATGTTTTCTTTTTAAATTTCTGTTTTTCAATTCTCAGATATATACCTATGCTGGAATTACTGAGTCATATGGTAACTCTGTTGTTAACCTGCTGAGGAATGGCCAGGCTATTTTCCAAAGTGACTTTGCAATTTTATATTCTTACCAGCAGTGCATGAGGGATCCAATTTATTCATTTTCTGTCTGCTATTATTTATCTTTTAATTACATCTGTCCTAGTTGTAGAGTTTTATGTCATTGAGGTTTTGATTTGTAATTCCATGATGACTAATAGATGACTAATATTGTTGGGCAACTGATATGGTTTGAATCGTGTCACTGCAAAATCTAATGTTGAAATGGAATCCCCAGTGTTGGAAGTGGAGCATGTTGGGAAGTGTGTGGATCATGGTGGTATATCTCTCATGAATGACTCAGCATCATCTCCTCAGTGATGAGTGAGTTCACAGGCAATCTGGTTTCAACGTGTCATTTCTCCCCACTCTTGCTCCTGCTTTTTCCATGTGATGTGACTGCTCCCATTTTGCCTTCTGCCATAAATAAAAGCTCCCTGAGGCCTACCCAGAAGCCAGCAGATATTAGCACCATGTTTACTGTACAGCCTGCAGAAACGTGAGCCAATTAAACTTCTTTTCTTGTAAATTACCCAGCCTCATATATTTCTTTATAACAATGCAAGAATGGCCTAGCACAGTAAATTGGTAGTGAGGAGGGGGGAATTGCTATAAAGATAACTGAAAATATGGAAGCAACTTTGCAACTGGGTAATGGGCACAGGTTGAAAGAGTTTGGAGGGCACAGAAGAACACAGGTAGACAAGGGAAAGTTTGGAACTCCTTAGAGACTGGTTAAATGCTTGTGACCAAAATACTACTAATAATATGGACAGTGAAGTCCAGGCTGATAAGGTCTCAGACAGAAATGACAAACTTATTAGAAGCTAGAGTGAAGGTAATTCTTGATATGCCCTAGCAAATAACTTAGCTGTATTGTATTCATGTCCTAGGGATCTGTGGAAATTTGATCTTGAGAGTGAGCACTCAATGTATTTGGTGGAAGAAATGTCAAAGCAGCAAAGCATTCAAGATGTGGCCTGGCTGCTTCTAACAACCTACACTAAGATGTGGAAGCAAAGAAATGACTTAAAGTTGGAATTTATATTTAAACTGGAAGCAGAGCATAAAAGTTTGAAAATTTGCCATCTGGCCATGTGGTAGAAAAAAGAAGCCTATTTTCCAAGGAAACATAAAAGCAGGCTGTGGAGAAACAATGTGCTTGAGAAATTTGCATAAATAAAAAGGAGCCAAGTGCTAATAGTCAAGACAATGAGAAAAAAACCTTGAAGAATTTTCAGAACTTTGTGGTGGCTCCTCCCATCAAAGGCTCAGAGGCTTAGAAGGAGAGAATAGTTTTGTAGGCCAGGACTAGGGCCTTGCTGCCCTGCAAAGCTTCAGGAAACTGCTCCCCACATCCTGGCCACTCCAGTTCCAGCCACATATCAAAGGGGCACAAATACCATTCAGACCACTGTTTCAGAGGGTGCAAGCCATAGTAAGCCTTGGCAGCATCCATGTGGTGTTTAGTCTGTTGGATAACAGAATGCAAGAGTGAAGGAAGCTTAGCAGCATTGGCTTGATTTCACCAGATGTATAAAAAAGCCTGAGTGCCCAAGCAGAAGCCTGCTACAGATGTGGAGCCCTCACAGAGAACCTCTACTAGGGTAGTGCAGAAGAGAAATGTGGAATTGGAGGTCCCCACTGGGTCAGTGCCTAATGCAGCTGTGAGAAGGGTGTCAACATCCTCCAAACCCTAGAATGGCAAATCCACCAGAAACTTGCACCTCACATCTGGAAAAGCTGCAGACATTTAATAAACTCTGAAAGCAGCCCTGGGGCAGAGTTGCTGAAGGCCTTGGGAGCCCACGTTTTGCACCAGTGTACCCTTTGTGGTTTTGATTTGTAATATAGTCAAAAGAGATTATTTTGGAGTTTAAAGATTTAATTACTTTCCTGCTGGGTTTTGAACTTTTGTGAAGCCTGTAGCCCCTTTCTCTTGACTAATTTCTCCCTTTTGGATGGGGAACGTTTAACCAATGCATATACCCCCATTGCATCTTGGAAATAAGTAACATATTTTCAATGTTACAGGCTCATAGGCAGAATAAAATGAGTCTCAGATAACACTTAAAACTTTGGACTTGGTGCTTGAATGAGTTCAGACTTTTAGGGGAGTGTTGGGAAGAGATCTCTATATTTTGCAATGTGAGAAGAACATGAGATTTTGGTGGCCAAGGATAGAATCATATGGTTTGGATTTGTGCCCCTGCCAAATCTCATATTAAAATGTAATCCTCAGTGTTGAAGGTGGGACCTGGTAGGAGGTGTTTGGAACATGGGGGCATATCCTGTATGAATGGCTCAGCATCATCCCCTGGGTTATAAGTCTGTTCACCCAAGATCTCATTGTTTAAAGGTGTGGCAACTCCCTTGCACCCTTCCTCCTGTTTTCAACATGTGATGTGCCTGCTCCTGCTTCACCTTTTTTCATGAGTAAAAGCTCCCTGAGGTTTACCCAAAAATCAAGCAGATGCTGGTGTTGTGTTTCCTGCATAGCCTGTGAACTGTGAGCCAATTAAACATCTTTTTTAAAATAAGTCACTCAAATAAAATAAAATAAATCATGCACTCTTTGATATTTCTTTATAGCAATGCAAGAAGAGGTGAACACAGCATTCTTTTACATATTTATTGTACTTTTGTATATTTCAAATTATATATATGTATATATATACATGTATGTATAAATGTTTAGAGTCTTTTGGAAAAATGTCTATTGATACTTTGCCTATTTTTATTTTCATTCGTTAATAAAATTTTAACTTTTATTTTAGACTCAGGGGACACATATGGAGGTTTGTTACCTGGGTATATTGTGTAATGCAGAGGTTTGGGATACAATTTTTTCTGTTACCCAAGTCCTGCACATAGTACCCAGTAGTTTTTTTAACATTTGTCTGCCTCCATCTCTACCTCACAGTAGTCATCAGTGTCTATTGTTGCCATCTTTATTTCCCTGAGTTTCCTTTGTTTAGCTCCCACTTATCACTGAGAACACGAAGTATTTGGTTTTCTGTTCTTGCATTAATTCACTTAGACTTATAATATCCAGCTGCATCTGTGTTGCTGCAAATGACATGATTTCATTCTTTTTTATGACTGTGTAGTATTCTTTCTTAGTATGTTTCCGTTTTTAAAATTTTTTCTACATCCATTATAGGTTTCTGCTTTGTGGCCACCATGAGTCTTGCAAATAACATCTTGTGGCCAATTATTTTGAATTGATGATAACTCAATCACAAAGAAAAAAAAAAAACTAAGAAAATGTAAAATATCCCACTTTGCCCTCCCCAATTCTTGACTTCTGTTGTTCCATTTATGTCATTTTTATTGTCTCTCTATTAACACATTATTGTAGTTATTTTTCATAGATTTATCTGTTAGTGTTTCTACTAAAGATATGAGTGGTTTATACAAAACATTTGCAGTCTTAGAGTATTCTTGCCTGTGTGCTTACTTTTGCTAACATGTTTTATACTTTTAGATTATTTCTAGTTGATCATTAGTATTATTTTCTTTCATAATAAGTAACTCACTTTAGGATTTCTTGTAAGAGAGGCCTGGTGTTCATGAAATCTCTCAGCTTTTGTTTGTCTGGGAAAGTATTTCTTCTTCATGTTTGAATAATTTTGCTTATTCTAGGTTGAAATTTTTTTTCCTTCTGTATCTTGGAATGCCATCCCACTCCCTCTGACCTGTAAGGTTTTCACTGAGAAGTCTCCTGAAAGACATGTTTGAGCTCTTTGTTATGTTTTCTTTTTCTTCTTCCCTCTTGTCACTTTTAGAATTTTGTTTGTCCTTGACATTTGTGAATGTAATTAGTAAATGCATTGAGGTAGTCTTATTTGGGTTAAATCTGCTTATTGTTCTTGATCTCATTGTACCTGCAGATTCATATCTTTCCCTAGGTTTGGAAAGTTTATTATTATTTATTTGAATAAACTTTCTAATCCCATATTTTCTCTACATCTTCTTTAAGGCCAACAACTTTTTGATTTGTCCTTTGAAGTCTAAAATCTAGATCTTATAAGTGCACTTTGTTCTTTTTTATTATTTTCTCATTCTCCTTTGACTCTGTATTTAAATATAGCCCATCTTCAAGATCACTAAATCTTTCCGCTTGATCAATTTTGTTGTTGAGACTGTCCATTTTTTAAAACTTTGTCAATTGAATTTTTCAGCTCCCAAGTTTCTGCTTGTTTTTTAAATCTGTTTGTTAAATTTCTCTAATAGAATTCTGAATTTATTCCCTTTGTTATTTAGAATTTTGTTGAGCTTCCCTAAACCAGCTATTTTGAATTCCCTCTGAGTGGTTACATATCTATCACTGTAGGATTGGTTGCTGATGGTTTATTGATTCCATATGGTGAGGTAATGTTTTCCTGCATGTTTTTGATGCTTGCACATGTCAGTTGATGTCTGGGCTTTGAAGAGTTATTGATTTGGTTTGGCTCTGTGTCCCAATCCAAATCTCATGTCAAATTGTAATCCCTACATGTCAGGGGAGGGACGTGGTGGGAGGTGATTGGATCATGGGGGCAGATTTCCCCAATGCTGTTCTAATTATAGTGAGTTCTCAACAGATCTGATGGTTTAGAAGTGTGGTACTTCCCCCCCACCCCACACTCTCTCTCTCTCTCTCTCTCTCTTTTGCCACCATATAAGTTGTGCCTTGCTTCCCTTTCACCTTCCACCATGAATGTAAATTTCCTGAGGCCTCCCTAGTCATGCAGAATTCTGAGTCAATTAAACCTTTTTTCTTTATAAATTAAACAGTCTCAGGTATTTCTTCATAGCAGTGTGAAAATGGACTAATACAAAAAATTGGTACCAGGAGTAGGGCACTCTTACAACAATAACAGAAAATGTGGAAGCAACTTTGGAACTGGGTAACAGGCAGAGGGTGAAACATTTTGGAAAGCTCAGAAAAAGACAAGATGTGGGAAAGTTTGGAACTTCCTAGAAACTTGTGGAATGCTTTGCACAAAAATACTGTTAGTGATATGGACAATGAAGTCCAGGCTGAGATGGTGTCTGATGGAGATGAGAAACTTATTGGGAACTGGAGCAAAGGCCACTTTTATCATGCTTTAGCAGAGAGACTGGTGCTATTGTGTCCCTGCTCTAGGGATCTGTGCAACTTTGAACTTGAGAGAGATGATTTACAATATCTGGTAGAAGAAACTTCTAGGCAGCAAAACATTAAAGAAGTCACCTTGCTGCTCCTAACAGCATACAGTCATATGGGTTCACAAAAGAGATGGTCTGAAATTGGAACTTATGATTAGAAGAGAATCAGAGCATTTCTGTAGTGATCAGTGATGTTGAGTTTTTTTTTTTACATATTCTTTTTGGCCACATAAATGTCTTCTTTTGAGAAGTGTCTAGGATTGTTTGTTTCTTGTAAATTTGTTTAAGTGCCTTGTAGATTCTGGATATTTGGCCTTTGTCAGATGGAGAGATTGCAAAAATTTCCTCCCATTCTGTAGGTTGTCTGTTTGCTCTGATGATTGTTTTGTTGTGCAGAAGCATTTTAGTTTAATTAGATACCATCTCACACCAGTCAGAATGGCAATTATTAAAAATTCAAGAAACAATGGATGCTGGAGAGGCTGTGGAGAAAAAGAAATGCTTTTACACTGTTGGTGGGAATGTAAATTAGTTCAATCATTGTGGAAGACAGTGGGGTGATTCCTCAAAGACCTAGAACCAGAAATACCATTTGACCCAGCAATCCCATTATTAGGTATATACACAAAGGAATATAAATCATGCTATTGTAAAGATACATGCACACATATGTGCATTGCAGCACTATTCCAAATAGCAAAGATATGGAATCAACCCAAATGCCCATCAATGATAGACTGGATAAGAAAATGTGGTACATATACACCATGAAATATTATGCAGTCATAAAAAGGAACAAGATGTTGTCATTTGCAGGGACATGGATAGAGCCAGAAGCCATTATCCTCAGCAAACTAACACAGGAACAGAAAACCAAACACCGAATGTTCTCACTTATAAGTAGGAGCTGAACAATGAGAACACATAGAAACAGGGAAGGGAACAACACTCATTGGGGCCTGTTCAGGAAGCAGGGGGAAGGAGAGCATCAGGATAGATAATGCATGTGGGGCTTAATACCTAGGTGTTGGGTTGATATGTGCAGCAAATCACCAAGGCCCACGTTTACCTGTGTAACAAACCTGCATGTCCTGCACATGTATTCCAGAACTTAAAATAATTAAAAAATAACAAATTTAATTTTTTTAATAATGAAAAATGAATCACAGCATAAAAGTTTGAAAATTTTGTACCTTGACTATGTGGTAGAAAAGAAAAAAAAACACATTTCTAGGGGCCTTGCCTAGTGGAGCTGTGAGTAAAGGGCCACCATATTCCAGAAGAAAGAATGTTAGATCCAATAACAGCTTGCACTGTGTGCTTGGAAAAGCCACAGGCACACAATGCCAGTCCTTGAGAGAAGCCATGGGACCTGAGCCCTGAAAAGCCACAGAGGCAGAGCTGCCCAAGGCCTTGGAAGCCCACCCCTTGCATCAGCATGCCTTGGAGGTGAGACATGGAGTAAAAGGAGATTATTTTGGAGATTTAAGATTTAATGACTGCCCTGCTGGGTTTCATACTTGCGTGGGGCATGTAACCCCTACGATTTGGCCAATTTATTCCATTTAGAATGGGATTATTTACCCAATGTCTGTGCCTTCATCGTATCTTGGAAGTAACTAACCTGTTTTTCTACTAATATTTTACAGGCTCATAGGCGGAAGGGACTTGTCTTGTCTCAGATGAGACTTTGGACTTGGACTTTTGAGTTAATGGTGGAATGAGTTAAGACTTTGGGGGACTACTGAAAATGCATGATTAATTTTGCAGTGGGAAAAGAACATGAGAATTGGGAAAAGCCAGAAGAGGAATGATATGGTTTGGCTCTGTGTCCCCATACAAATCTTATGTCAGACTGCAATCCCTACGTGTCAGGGCAGGGATATAGTGGCAGGTGGTTGGGTCAAGAGGGCAGATTTTCCCCATGTTCTCATGATAGCGAGTTCTCATGATATCTGATGGTTTGAAAGTGTGGCGCTTCCCCCCTTGCTCTCTCCTTCCACCACGTAAGACATGCCTTGCTTCCCCTTTGCCTTCCACCATGATTGTAAGTGTCCTAACACCTACCCAGCCATGTGTAACTGTGAGTCAATTAAACCTCCTTTCTTTATAAATTTCCCAGTCTCAGGTAGTTCTGTATAGTGGGTAAAAATGGACTAATACAGTTAGGTATTTATTTCAACCCTTTGCTTGTTTGTACTCATCCCTCCTGAGAGGACTTTCCAAATATTCAAATGGGATTGGGTGTTGTCACCTAAGCCTGTTGTAATTATAGCCATTTCAGCACTAGGGGACAACCTAAGCCCAGGAATGCTGTGACTCTTTCACATTCAGATACGTAGCCTTAGTGGTCTTGAAGATAATAATTCTGTCGATTTCCATGTAAAGTCCCTCCTTCCATTCCTCCCACTTTCTCCCAATTAGGAGTATCTCTCTATGCTGGGCTGTCTGGAGTTGGGTGAAGGGTGATGCAGGCACTTCCATGGCCTCCACAGGTGGCATTTCACTGTATTGCACCTGTAACCCATGGCCTTCCAGACCAGCACAGTACTGGGGCTCAGCCAAGGTCCACAGCCACTACTGCCTGATGGCTGGTGATGTTTATCCAAGGCCGGAAGACACTTTTTAGCAATATAGTGAATCTTGCCAGAACGGATTCTATCCCAGCAGGACATCAGATTCCCTTTTGGCCTGTGGTGGGTCTAGAAATACCATCCAACAGGGACTTCAGAAATCTCCCTGGTGCTTCTTCTTCTGTAGTTATGCTAATACCCAAGTTGCAAAACAGTGTCAACACCCAAGTTGCAAAATAATGTCCTCTGTGCTCTTCCCTCTCCTGCTCCAAAGCAGAAGTAGTCTCTTCCCTTGCTTTACTGCTTAAAGTTGGGTGAGGAGGTGATGCAGGCACTCCTATGGCCACTGCAGCTGGCATGACACTGGGTTACACCACAAGCCCACTGCTCTGAGATCACTGGAGCACCAGGGATTGCCCAAGGAGTGTAGACACTGTGGTCTGACTTCCACCCAAATTTATTTGTGTCTCAAGGATACTTTAGTCAGCTAGTGTTGAAGGTGGCTGGGATATAGGTTCATCCTGCTAAGATGGGAGATTCCTCCAGGCCCAAGGCTAGTGGAAGTGCTCCCTCTGTAGGCACCAGCTGAATTTTTCATAGTGCTGTCTTCCCCTGTGACATGGAGTTACTGACTTCCAATGCAAAGTTTTACCCTCATTTTACTTTTTCTCTCCAAGCACACAGATTCTCTCTGTGCTGTGCTACCTTGGGTTGGGTAGGGGTGTTATAGGCAATGCAAGGCTATCCTTTCTACCCTCTTCAATGCTGCTTCTCCTATCATTTGTTAAAACAAGATGATGTAATTTCTCATCTGGTTTTTGTTTTTGTTTCAGTTTTGCTGTTGTTTGTCTAGTTGTTTTTTTAATGAAGGGTCTTTTGCATGGATACTTGTACAATTTGGTGTTCCTGAGGGGAGATGATCACTGGAGTGTTCTATTTGGCCATCTTACTCCACATCCTCTCAGAAAAATAAATAAATAAAAAGTTAATGATATCACATTTTATTTATCTGTTCATCTGCTGATGGACAGGCTAATTCTGTATCTTGGCTATTGTGAATAATGCTGCAATGAACAGGAAAGTCTAGATATTTATTTGAAATATTGATTTCATTTCCTTTGGAAAAATAGCCAGTAGTGGGATTGGTGGATAACATGGTATTTTTATTTTTAATTTTTTAGGTAACCTCTATAATGTTTTCCAAAATGGCTACAAATTCCCACCAACAATGTGTAGTTTCTTTTCTCCACATCAGTTTCAACACTTTTTGTAATCATTCATCTTTATATATATATATATATATATATATATATATATCTTTATATATATATCATCTTTATATATATATCATAGCCATTGTAATGGACATGAGGTGATATTTCATTGTGGTTTTCATTTGTATTACAACATAAATTACAACATAGGCTGTACAAAAAGCATGGCATCAGCACCTGCTTTTGGTGAGGGCCTCACAGAAAGTTTCCAATCATGGTGGATGGGGAATAAGAGGCAGCATGTCACATGGCAAAAGAGAAAGCAAGGCAGAGAGGAGGAGATATCAGGTTCTTTTTTAACTGACAGGTCTCATGAGAACTAAGAGTGAGAACTCACTCGATCCCATGAGAATGACACGAAGCCATTCATAAGGCATCTGACCCATAATCCAAACAATTTCAACCATGCTCCACCTCCAACACTGGAAATCAAATTTCAATATGAGATTTGGAGGTGATGAATATCCAAATTAAGATATTTGGCCCATTTTCTAATCAGGTTGCTTTCTTCTTATTGAATCATATAAATTGCTTATATAGTTTGGACATTAACCCCTAACAAGATGTATGGTTTGCAAAGACTTTCTTTCATTCTGTAAGTTGTCTCTTCCCTCTGTTGTTTGTTTTCCTGTGCAAACACTTTTAGTTGGGTTTAATTACAGTTAATTTGCTGTTGTTGCCTGTGCTTTTGTAGTCACATCTAAAAAAAAAAATTCATTGCCAAGGCTAGTATCATGGATCTTTTCCTTATGTTTTCTTCTAGTAACTTCAAAGTTCTGATCCTCTGTTTAAGTCTTTAAACCATTTTGAGTTTATTGTTGTATATGGTGTAAGAGAAGGATCTAATTTCATTCTTCTGCATGCAGATATTTAGCTTCCTCAACATCACTTATTAAAAAGACCATCCTTTATGTTTTGTGGTCTTGGCAACTTTGTTGAAAACCAATTGACTGTAAATATGTGGATTTCTTTCTGGGCTCTCTATTTTGTTTTATTGGCCTATGTTCTATTTTTATGCCATTATCATTTTGTTTTCATTACTATAACTTTGTAGTATATTTTAATATCAGGTAGTGTGATATTTTAGTGTTTTTTTTCCTCAAGGCTGCTTTTCCTATCAGGATCTTTTGTTGTTCCATAAAACCTTTTTGATTATTTGTGAACATTTTTGTGAATTTTTATTAAAATTTGAATAGAGACTGCAGTAAAACTGTAGATTTCTTTGGGTAGTATGAAAATTTTAATCATATTAATTCTTCCAATTCATATTTATTGGAAATCTGCCCCCTTGACCCAACCACCTGCCACTATATCCCTGCCATGACACGTAGGGATTGCAGTTTGACATAAGATTTGTATGGGGACCCAGAACCAAACAATATCATTCCTCTTCTGGCTTTTCACAATTCTCATGTTCTTTTCCCACTGCAAAATTAATCATGCATTTTCAGTAGTCCCCCAAAGTCTTAACTCATTCCACCATTAACTCAAAAGTCCAAGTCCAAAGTCTCATCTGAGACAAGACAAGTCCCTTCCGCCTATGAGCCTGTAAAATATTAATAAAAAAACAAGTTAGTTACTTCCAAGATACAATGAAGGCACAGACATTGGGTAAATAATCCCATTCTAAATGGAATAAATTGGCCAAATTGTAGGGGTTACATGCCCCACGCAAGTATGAAACCCAGCAGGGCAGTCATTAAATCTTAAAGCTCCAAAATAATCTCCTTTTACTCCATGTCTCACCTCCAAGGCATGCTGATGCAAGGGGTGGGCTTCCAAGGCCTTGGGCAGCTCTGCCTCTGTGGCTTTTCAGGGCTCAGGTCCCATGGCTTCTCTCAAGGACTGGCATTTTCATTTTTATGTGTCTTAATTTCTTTCATCAGTGTTTTATAGGATTCAGTGCATAGGTCTTTCACTTTTATTAAACTTGTTGCTGAGTATTTCATTGTAACGTATTGCTGAGTATTTCATTGTAATGTATATATTAGAATGCCTTATAGAAGTGAGTAATATATATTTCATTTCTAGTTTTATTTTAGATTCATAGGGTACATGTGCAGGTTTGTTACATGCATACATTGCATAATGCTGAGGTCTGGGGTATAGATGATCTGATCACCCAGGTAGTGAGCACAGTATCCTATATGTAGTTTTTCCACACATGGCCTCCTCCCTTCCTCCCACTTCTAGTAGTCCCCAGTGTTTTTTGTTCCCATCTTTACATCCATGTGTACTCAATGCTTAGCTCACATTTATAAATGAAAACATGCATTATTTGGTTTCTGTTACTGTGTTAATTTATTTAGGATAAGCCCTGATCCAGTTTCTCTGTGTTTTTAATCATTTAAATTAAGCTTTAAAAAAATCTTCTCAGGTTGTGGTAAATTTGTGATGCCAATTTTCCCACCCAGTCTTGCCCCACTCTTCTAGCATTAGAGCTTGCAATCAGCTCTGGGAAGCTACAGGTGCCTCTAAGAATCTCCCAGGGTTGTGCATGGGGGTCTGAAACTAAAGAACCACACTATCAGTCTTTCTTTGTCCTTGCATAGACCTGAAATCTCCTCTTATCTGCATCATAACTTCCAAGCTTAGACGACCACATGCTAAACTGGGATACCTAGGAAGGCTCTAACCTTGCTTGTGCCTACCAAACTTTAACTTCATCTTCAAAACTCAGAGCCAATGTGCTATGGTAGAAAAATGACAAGCAATGACATAAAATGAGATTTGAGTGAACTGAGAGTGATATAACTCTACTGGAGGGGTGAAACAATATTGTAAATATACCAACACTCCTACCCCCAAATAAGCCATAATTTCAATGCTATGTCAACCAAAACCTCAATAAGCATTTTTTCTTAAAAAAACTAATTTTAAATTCATATGTTAGGGCAAATATATAGTAGCCAATTCATGTTTGGGAAAAAAGGCACATGGAGCAGAATCTGTTCTACTAGGTATTATGACATGTGATAGAACCATAAAAATTAAAACAGAGTGGTATCAGTTGAAGACTAAACAAATAACTCAACAGAATTATAGAGTTTGGAAACAGATTATATAATTAGTATATCACATAATTAGGATATATAATTAGTATTATGATTATATAAAAATATATTTAGCAATTAGTTTATTATATGAATATATAGTTAGTAAATAATAAAAATAGGTCTTCAGAGTAGGGGTGAATAAAGTATTTAATTGTTCACTTATTGGGACAATTGGTTGTTGATTTGGAAAAAATAAAATTAAAGCCATATCTCACATAATTCAGAAAATTCCTTTAGAAACAAAGTCTTCAAAATAAAAATCAAGATTATAATAGCATTAAATGAAAGTACATGATATATAATGTGGGTGTTAGGAAATACTCTTTTTAAAGAAAAAAACAAAATGCAAAAAATAATAAAGTTTATTATATCACTAGAAAGTAGGCAGAAGACATGAACAGACTTTTCACCAAATAATATATACATGTGATAATAATCACTTGGAAAGGTGTTCAATATGCGTAGCCATTAGGGAAATATAAATTAAAACTATGTTATCACTACATACCTATCAAAATGGCTAAAATAGACAACAGTGACAGTACAAAATGCAGGTGAGGATTCAGAAAAGCTAGATCATACATTGTTGTTGGGAATAGAAAATGCTACAGCCACTCTGGAAGAATATGACTGTTTCTTATAAAGTTAAAAATACACATCATATGGCCCAGTAATTTGCACTTTGGGGCATTTATTCCAGAAAAATTAAAACTTATTTTTACAACAAAAACCTGTACACACATGTTCATTGCAGCTTTATTTGTAATATCCCAAAACTGTCAATATTGCAGTTGCCTCTTAGAAGGTGAATGGTTAAACAAACTGGTGCATCTATACTGTGGAATACTATGCAGCAATAAAAATGAACAAATTATTGATACATGAAAAACTTTCAAAGATCTCAAGGATATCTTGTTTAGTGAAAGAGTCAATCTCAAAAGGTTAAACACTATATACTTTCATTTATATAACAATCTCAAAATGATAAAATTATATTCAATCCAGGGGACCTAGTACTGGTAAAGGCACTTCCCTTCCTTTCTCCCTCTCTAGGCCCAGATTGGGAGGGAAGATTGGGAAGTACACTGTACTTCTTTCCACTCCTACAGCAGGGAAGGTCACTGGAACAGATTCTTGGATTCATATACTCAAGTAAACACATGGGGAAGCTGACAGCATCACTTCCATCAACCCAGAAGAGCACCCAAAGTACCAATGTGAAAAAATCTGGGACCTCAAGCTAAAAATCACAAAAGATAAGTGTTAATAATTGACCTTCCATGGATATCCTCTTTATAGTCTTGCCTATGCTTGCTGTTCTTACCTTTGTTTTGTTCTTCACCATGAGGCACCTTTACCAAGGGTCCATTAATCCTGAACACGAACAGAAATACCTACTCCCCTCAACAGTTATCTCTTTTTTAAAGTTTAATTGCTCCCATACAATATTTAATTTCTTTCATCAGGGGCACAATATTATTTTCAGAATGATTAGTATATTTCACTTCTCATTTCTGTTATCTTTGACACTAGATTTGTTCCCTTTAACTCCTCTTTGTATAATACCCATATTTGATCCATGCATAGTTAGCCTTGTAAAATTTGTTTCTTCTTGCCTACAGGCCAACAAACTCCAGTCACGCAACCAGAGCCTCAGACAATGGCTCCCTTTTACTGAGGACCCTTAGATAGGCCTCTGAGAGAAATCTGATTGTCATTGCCCCTAAAACAATGCCCCTGTCAGCAGGAAGCAGCTAAGATCAGTCATCATCCCTGTTCTAACGGCAGTTACATGTACCTCTTCAGAGGGGGAAATGATAGAGGGAGGAGGCAGAGAAATCCTAAAACAGGGGCAGGTACCCAGTGAAATCCCATCTTCAAGCCAAAGACAGTTTAAACCCTAAAGGCCAAGTTACAAGTAAAATTCACAGACCAGGTTGCAAACCCGTCTTCCCATTTCGCATGCTTTCCTTTGATCCCCACCTTTCACCTATTTTACATATATCTACCCTTCCTTATTTATTTTTACACTGTGCCCACCTTTGACTGTATCAAATTTTTTGAGGGGTTTGGACATGAACAACTTGAATTTTTTCAAAATCTTTTTGCCCGTCTATTGAGATGATCATATGGTATTTGTTTTTAATTTTGTTTGTGTGGTGAATCACATTTATTGATTATAAATCACATTTATTGATTTATTGAACCAGCCTTGCAAATCCAACTTGGTTGTGGTGCATTAACTTTTTGATGTGCAGCTGGATTCAATTTACTAGTATTTTGTTGAGGATATTTGCACCTATATTCACGAAGAGTATTAGTCTGAAGTTTCCTTTTTCACTTTGTCTCTGCCAGATTTTGGTATTAGGCTGACATTGGCTTCACTGAATGAGTTAGGGAGCAGACACTCCTCCTCAATTTTTTGGAATAGTTTCAGAAGGATTACTACAAATTCTTCTTTGTTCACCGGTAGAATTCACCTGTGAATCCATCTTGTCCTGGGCTTTTTTTTTATTGGTAGTTTTTTATTTTAATTACTGATTTAATTTCAGAGCTCTATATTGATCTATTCAGGGTTTCAATATATTCCTGACTTAATTTTGGGAATTTGTGTTTTTCCAGGAATTTATCCATTTACTCTGGATTTGCTAATTTGCATGCACATAGTTGTGCATAGTATTCTGTGAGGATTGTGGTCTGAGTGTGTGCTTGTTATGATTTCAATTTTTTAATGTTTTGAGACTTCCCTTATGACTGGGCATGTGGTCAATCTTAGAATATGTTCCATATGCAGATGAGAAGATTATATATTCTATGGCTGTTGGGTGGAGTGTTGTGTAGATGTCTTTTTAATCCAATTGGTCAAGTTTCAAGTTTAAGGCCAGAATTTGTTAGTTTTCTCCCTTGATGTCCTGTCTAATGCTGTCAGTGTGGTGTTGAAGTCTCTCACTGTTATTCTGTGGTTGTTGAAGTCTTCGTAGGTCAAAAAGAACTGTTTTATGACTCTCAGTGCTCCAATGTCGGCTGAATATACATTTAGTATAGTTATGTCTTCTTCTTGTATTGTATGCTTTATCATTATACAATCTCCTTAATTTTTATTGGTTTAAAATCTGTTTATCTGATATAAAAATAGCAACACCTGCTCTTTTTAATTTGCATGGTAGATCTTTCTCCAACCGTTTACTTTGAGCCTGTGGGTGTTGCTAAATGAGATACGTGTCTTTTGAAGAGAGCAGATGGTTGGGTCTCATCTTTCTTCAGTTTGATCTATTCTGCTGTTAATACTTCCAATTTTATTATGAAATTCTTGTAGTGAGTTTTTCAGCTCTATCAGTTTGGTTCTTTGTTAAAACGGTTATTTTGTCTTTCGGCTCATCTCATTTTATTGGATTTTTTAGATTCCTTGGATTGAAATTTTAACTTTCTCCTGAAACTTCCTTGCCATATAAATTTTGAATTGTATGTCTGTCACTTCAGTCATTTCCAAAATGTTAAGGACCATTCTTGGGGAGCCAGTGGACTTGTTTATGGGTAGGGGGACACACTGGCTATTTGTTTTGCCAGAATTCTTGGGCTCGCTCTTTTTCAACTGGGAGGACTGACATTCCTTCAACTGTATTGTAATTTGATTATAGTCAGTTGGCTTTGTTTCTGGATGTTTTCAGAGGGCCAAGGCTCTGTGGTGGGCCTTTTTTGTGGCTGAAATATTGCCCTTGGTTTCACAGATGAGTATATTAGCAAAATATTTTTGGTGTTCTAGTTCGGGCTGCAATTCAGTAGATGGTGCTTAAGAGTAACAGTAAATAGGCTCTTATTACACCATGTGGCTCCTCTGTATTTCTTCATGCTTTCGGGTGTGCTCTTTGGTGTGGGGTGGAGAGAGGTGACTCCCTCACTAGGTCCACTCTTGTGTCTTGGAAGAACTCCCTACAATCACTGGCATGGCATACGCTTTTCTTTTGTTAGGCATTCTAGGCTGCAGGACTTCCATGGGCAGGGGCCATGACAGGGAGATAGGCCACACCTTTCCCAGGTGGAACCTGCAGATGGAGGCATGCTGTGTTTCTGCACAGTTCCTGAAGCTTTGACTCTAACCTCTTAGGGCTCTGAGAGTGTGGGTTCCTCTCCTGCTCGTGTGCTGGCCACAGATCACCATTTGGCACTCCTAAGCTGTGCACAGTAGCCCTGGGGTATGTTTAGGCTTCTTGTTCTCTACTCAGCTTGGGGGCAGCAGGGGTCGGGACCTCAGCAGCAGTGATGGCAGACGGGCTGTCATTTGTCTCTGGGAGCTAGCTATATGACAGAGAAACACAGAGCCACTGCAAATTGGAATGATCAGCTGGGGGTGACACTTCTTTGCTGCAGGCCAAAGCCAGAGGGCCCTGCCTGGTGAAGAGATGGGGTTGGGGGGTGGCTGATGGGAGCACAGTCTGACCTCCTCTCTATAGGGTGGCTGTAGCATGCTGGAGGTGCAAGTAAAGTACTCAAGCTCTTTGTGACTCTTCCACCCTGGGGGCAGCAAGGGTGGGTACTGTGGAAGGCAGGAGCAGAGGGACTATCAGTTGCTTCTGGGAACTCCACCTCAGAGAAACAGAGCTACTGCCAATGGAATGTTCATCCAGGGGTTGTTACCAGTGGCAAATCTGTACAGGTCTGCAGCAACCTCTACTGTTGACTCCCCAGAAGGCTTTTGACTGAGGGGCATAAGGCAGAGTGAAAAACCAAAGCAAGTTGAAAGCAGGCCTAAAAGTATGTTAAAAAGCATTAGAGCAGGAAAGAAAGAAAGTGAAATACTCTTGTAAGAGGAACAAGCGGGTACTTCACAGATAAGTGCACAGTTTGACCTTTTGACTTGGAGTTTTTTATATGTTGGTAGGCTTCAGGGGTCTTGTGTCCCTTCTCTGATTCTTCCCTTGTGGTGGGCTGTCCACATGTGCAGTGACCTGCTAGCACTTGGGAAAGGCCACAGGCACAGTGAGTTTACTGGAGTTGTATGCATGCTCTCTTGAGGAGTTCTTCCCTTACCAGTCAAATGTCCCTAGAAGGTCATATACCAGTTAAACTCCAACATTTTGCCTCTTGGTGCACATGCCTGAGCCCACTCGCCTGGCTCCTGAGATCTCATCAGGAAGCTGATCACCAGTTTCAGTATTTTCCTATTGGGCGACCGCCTTTCCCTTGCACACGCTGTGACCAATTATTACTTTAGAGAGACACTTAAAAACCACCTGACATTCCTGGTGTGTGTGTGGTGAGGGAGAGACCTCTCCTGCTCTGCTCATGTCTGACTAGCTACTTACTGTACCATGTCCCCTCTCAACAATCCAAGACCCCAATTCTTTGGGGAAAGTTGATGTAAGTCAGTCTTCTGTAATTGTTTCCTGCTGACAGAAGTTAGCTGTCAGAGCAGGGTGGCTCCATGGATTGGTGAAAGTCGTAGCCACCCAGGCCCAAGGAAGACAGTGGCAAGATTTTGCCTCTGTCATGTTCCACTGATGGGCAGTCTAGGGGTCCCCTCTAGAAGTGTGACTCTAGTATTGAGAGGACAGTATCCATCACTGAGCATCTTTTGGAGCTTGATGGCCTGAACGCAAGAAAAGACAAATCAGGTTAGTAGATTGAGAAGAATGTCAAAACAAAATAAGGGGGAGATGACACCTCCAAAAAATCCCGAGGCTGCCGACATGCCCCGGTAGTTGGTGGCTATATTCATGCCTGCTAAGACGTGGGTGCATGGGGTTGCTAGCCAATTATTCTATTGCCCAGAATTAGAACATTGATTCAGGTTTTTGCATGACCCATCCCTCTTGTTTCTTCTGAGTTGTAGCCAGAGTTCACCAGTTAGTTCACAGGAATAAGCAGGGTTAGTCTGAATTGCAGACAAAAACTCAAAAACAACTGATGAGACTAGAATCTAATAATAAGTATACCATAGTTCTTGAAACATGATTTTTATCTTTCCAGTCCTCCTTTGTTTAAAAAATATCATGATAGGATTGATTAGTTTGCAGAATAAACTTGTCTTATTATACTTGGCCTGATTATTTGCATAAACAACAGCAAGAATAATTATTTGCCATATAGGCTCCCTTTTAAATTGTCTTTGATGGAACTTCATTTCATGAGGAATCAGATAAGACTTTTTTGAAGACTTAATCCCAGCCATGGGTTAGTGTCATCAATTACCTATATGAGTTGGGGAAATTCCTCTCCTCTTGAGGTCCCAAGATAACTTGGGGCTCCTTGGCCTACTGGAAAATAACATTCTTTACTTACCAGAGGTCAAGAGCTGTGTACAGAGACTATTTAGACAAGGTATGAGGCCAGTTTTCCCAAGGTGTATTTATTGGCTTTATAAGTCAAAGTTGATTCCTTAAAGCAACCTGAAACTATGCCATTCCAGTCAAAGCCTTGGTAAAATAACCAGTTTCTCCAGTTGTGTCCTGTGTAAAAGAAAATAGATTCTTACTGCACTAAGGCAAGTAACTATATTGCCATAAGTTGAGAATACTTACAAGTAGTATCTAAATTCTGGAGAGATCAAGTAAAGAGAAAACAATATGCTCTAAGTTTTGTTTACAGGGACATACTTTACTCAATTGTTAAAAGCTGTAAGGATTATTTAGTCTTTTATTAGTTTACTCCATGAAGTTAACTCCTGTTCTGCTTGATATTCATAAACATTTCAGCTTTCCACGAGAGTTCTGAAAGTTTTTCCTCTATTCTAATGTCACAATCTCCGAAGTTATCAAAAACCTGCATTTAAGAGCACCTGTTACGAGTTTTATAGTTGATTTTAAAAAACCACCTTTTAAATAGAATTAAAACAACAACTGTCTATGGATAACAAAAAGTCTTAGGGCACCCATAGTCAAAGATACAACTAAGAAGGATATTTGTTACCTCTATGGCATAATAATATAACAATTATAATTATTACTGATAACTTATATTGTTATATCAGAATTATAGGAGTTTCACATAATTTTGGAACACATACCAACAACACATTTATAAAGAGTAGATTAATGCTTTAATAAAACTCTGTTGTGCTTTTATTCCAGTGTTTAATTTATGGAAAAACTGAATAATACTCCTTTAACTTTAGGCAATATGTTTACATACAGATTTTATTTTACAAGATTAATCTTTCAAAAAACTTTCACAACTTGCTTAAATATTCAACTTTATCCTATCTAACTTAAAATAATCATTTAACCCTCTAAACCAGGCATGTACAGCTGTTTTTCCAGCAATCTCAAGTACATGTTACACTGTTAACTCTTAGCAACTTTTACTTTTGGTGAAAAACTTGATAAATAAGTGATTCTAATTATGTACTAGGTTTGGAGCCTAGGACACCAGACAGAAGTGCAGATAAGGTTTGATTCCAGTATAGCTAGAGGCATGGCTAACTCTGTGTGTCCCCATTCGTTACCTAGGTTTAAAGCAGGCAATTTGTACAGTTAAGTAATAGTAGCAGTTTATGGAGCATTTAGTAGACCAAATACCCTTTAAAATTGTACATTTTTATAACTTCTGTTTCATGATTTTTTTCATAACTTACACAGACCACCTATAACATGCTTCGACTTTCTGACTTGTCCTAAAATCCCTCTTTTTAAACAACAAGTCATTTTATTTTAGGACAATAACTTACCATACAAGATCCTTTTTTTTAATACAAAATCTTTTTCTTTATAACTTTCCTTACCAGAAATACCTTTACCTTTATAACCTTTGGATTAGACAAAAATAATTTTACTTCTGTTAGGAAGTTATGGTTTGAACTACATGTTACTGTATAAGTCCTGTGAAGGGCAGAAGATAAGGAGTTTATCTGTGTACTGTAGAGGTTTTGCCCCAAAGAGATGTGAATCTTTTCTTTTGGAGGGAGGTGGTGCTATATGCCCGTGTTACCCAACAGGATTTGGAAGAGAGTTGCTTAGGGGAGAATTAGCACAGAGTAGTCAGCTCTTGAACCCAAAAGAGAAATTTATAATTTTACTTGCCACCTCCAGAGTTGCCCTTGGCTTTGTAGTACCATTGATGACACTGATGTCTGATTTAGAAGCCAGACAGAGCAGAGAGCCCCTTCAGCTGAAGGCCATCAGGAGTTGGGATTCTGTTCCAGAGGCCATTTGGCCCTCTTGACAGTCCCATTTCCAGTGGCTGAGCTTGTGGTAGAGGGGGCAAGTCATGCACAGCTTTTTCCCATTTATTCCATTAGGACAGTTTGCCTTCCAGTGGCCTGGCTTCCTGCCCCAATAGCAGTTACCTAGAGGACTGTCCTTAGGGCAATTTGAAGGGGGCTGGTGGGCTTGCAGGGCAGCCAACAGTTGAGTCTGCCTCCTTTCCCTGTGTTTCTCCTTTTCCTTGGCCCTGTACTCCTTATTCTACTCTCAGTTATAAGAGATAGAGGAGGCTAATTTGAGGATTTCCTGTATAAGGGCACCAGGCTCTAAGGCTGACTTTTGTTATTTCCTCCATTTATTTTATAGGCCAAATAGTATTACAAAGGAAAACTAGTTGTTTAAGGTTTGGAGAAATCACACTTCCCAGTTCTGGGGGATGCATCTGAGGGGATCTGAGAGGCATGTCTTGTGGTATGGAGACATGATTACCCATCTGTGAAGAGAGAACTGAAGAGAAAAGGAAAAAAGGGAAAAAGGTATGCCCTCTTACTTTCCTCTGATCCTTAATAGGGCATTCCCCATTCTTCCTTAGGGTTCTCAAATGAATCAGTCTTACTGTGTACCCTTAACCTTAGTCTCAACTCATCACAATTACCCACTTGAGAACTTGATATACTGGAGTGAACAGTGGGCAAACTATTCATCCTTGGGGTTCCATGATGAACTCGTCTTACTCTGTACCCCTAACCTTGCTATCATCTCTGTTTTAATAGTAATTTGTCAGCCTGGGACCAACCTTCGTCTCTATCCTATTGGTCTCTTGTGCTTGCAGCCTTGGGCTTGCCTATATCCTTGTCTTCATGAACTTATAGTGACTCTCATTCAGTGCATTCTAACAACAAAATAATTATCGCTTTTCTCGGATTCCCAATTCCCATGTTCTTTAAGTAAAGGAGAAGCTTATTTTTCAGTAAACTGCCACAAGGGGGCTGACCTTCCCTTCCCCATGAGGAATACTCATGGAGTGCCTTCATATGCTCGCAAAAATAGCAGCACTTGGATTTGAGAGGGCAACGTTTATTTGCCCTCTTGATACAAAATGGTAACCTTTGGAGTACTTGGGGTTTGAGGTAAGAACATACAAATTGCAAAGGGAGAATTTCCCTTCCTCCCAAAAAGATGCTGACTCAAAAAAAGCAAGTGGGTGGGATCTTAAAGGGCCAGAGTGAGGCCATATGCTGGTGGACAAACTGCTTCAAAAGCCACCAGAAAATGAAGCCCTTGGCATAACAGGAATGAAAAGCATATGGTAAGTCATAAGGAGCTGGCAGAGCCTGAGTTTCAATTAGTGTCTGTCCCAGCAATGTGCTAGCAGACAGGGGAAGGGCTGGAGGTCATCTGAACTGGTAGGGTAAAAACAAGTATAAATCTCAGGGGATATCTGGAAGGCAGCCTGTGTCTTTGATGCTGTGCAAATGCAGCAAGAGCTGCAGGTGCATGAATAACAGGCAGTATCTGTTTAAGAAGTCACATGGCATGCAAAGAGGTGGATTTGACCCTGGGGTGGTTGGTCCAGAGTGTGCAAGGCCGTTTCAGAACACACACAGAAAAAGCACGGCAATAGGCAGTGTGGGTGTTTGAGAAAGAGACCATTTTAGTTGAAAAAGCAGAAGAAACCCCAGACATTGCACAGTTTTGAGTGCTAGCCCTACCACTCTTGTGAGCCTCCTGTCCAGGAGGGCCATTAGTGCCTCATTTCTACTTGGTGCATACCCCAATGTCCTTCCTACTCCCACAAGCCACTCCTCAGGGTGAGCTGAGAGATAAGCCAGGGTGAGGAGAGCCACTTTTGGTTGAGAGGAATCATTTTTGGGGTTGGTTAGTAAGCAGGAGAGAGAAAGGGAGAAGAAAAAAGGTATACAGGGGTTGAATACCTCCAGCCAAAGAAGGCGGGGTATAGAGGTCTCTTACCACTAGGGAACGTATCCATATCCAAGTCACTCAGCACCAAAGTATGTTAGTGGTAAAAAGTACCTGAGTCTCATAGCACCAAAATATGTTACTGGCAGCAAATCTGTATGGATCTGCAGCAACCTCAATCCTTGCCTCCACAGAAGAATTTAACCAAGGTCATAAGGCAGAGTGAGAAACCAAGGCAAATTTTAGAGCAGAAATGGAAGTTTATTAAAAAGCTTTAGAGCAGGAATGAAAGGGAGTAAAATACACTTGGAGAGGGCTAAGCAGGTGACTTGAGAGATCAAGTGTATAATCTGACCTTTTGACTTGGGGTTTTATATGCTGGCATGTTTCCAGGTTCTTGCGTCCCTTCTCCCCTGATTCTTCCCTTGCAACGCACTATCCACATGTGCAGTGGCCTGCTCACATTTGGGAGGGGCCACAGGCACAGTATGTTTACTAGAGTTGTACACATGTTCACTTTAGGCATGCTTCCTATATTAGTCCATTTTCATGCTGCTAATAAAGACATATCCAAGACTGGGTAATTTATAAAGAAAAAGAGGTTTAATGGACTCACAGTTCCACATGGCAGGGGAGGCCGTACGATCATGGCGGAGGGTAAAAGGCATGCCTTACATGGTGGCAGGCAAGAGAGAATGGGAGCCAACCAAAAGGGGCAACCCCTTATAAAACCATCAGATCTCATGAGAGTTATTTACTACCAGGAGTACAGTATGGCAGAAATGGATTATCTCCAACAGAGTCCCTCCCATAACACATGGGAATTGTGGGAGCTACAATTCAAGATGAGATTTGGGTAGTGACACAGCTAAACCATATCAACTTCCCTTACCAGTATAGTATTCCTAGAGGGAGGTCATATACCGGTTAAATTGAACCATTTTGGTTCTTAGTGTACATGCCTGAGCCACTTGCCTGACTCCTGAGATCTTATTGGGATGCTGATCACCAGTTTCAGGTTTTTTTCTATTTATTGGGAGACTGCCTTTCCCTGGTTTCAGCTGTGACCAATTATTATTTTAGAGAGACAGTTAACCACCTGACCATCACTTGATGGTCGCCTGACATTCCTGGTGTGTGTGTGGTAGGGGAGGGGAGGGCAGAGCTCTCTCCTGCTCTGCTCATGTCTGACTAAGCTACCTACTGTAACAGGGTGGGGTGGCTGTACTATGGGCCCAAGCGAGGGGCCCTGCCTGGTGAAGAGCAGTGTGTCAGAGGCTCACAGGGGAGACAGACTGGTCTCCTCTCTGTAAGGAAGCTGTGGTGTGCTGGGGGCATGAGCAGAGAAATCACATATTGTCTTCTAAAAATTATTAACCAATAGTTACTTGTGATAAATGGGATATAAATATTTAATAATGTAAGTAATTTAAACAATAATTATTTTATTTAATAAATAATTCTATCTTGATGGAAAAAATAATTGACTAGACGTATTTTCTGTATTATTTCTCATTACCAATACCTGTGAGAACCCAGGGCTGGTTTAATAGGGCCTCATGCTATTCACCTTTTACTTTGAGAATGGCAGGCCATGATATCCAGGAATAGTAGAGTTATACTTAGCAAGTGGAAGTCTAAAAAATTGACCTTTATTGTCTTAAGGATAGACATTGTATAGATCATTTCCTCTATCCTTAAACTTAGCTCTAATTTGTGTGGCAAGTAAATACAAGCATACCTCACTCTATTGACTTCACTTTATTGTGCTATGCAAAGATAGCATTTTTTAGGTTGAAGCTTTGTGGCAACCCTGTATCAAACAAGTCTATTTGCACCATTTTTCAAACAGCATGTGTTCACTTTGTGTCATTGTGTCACATTTTGGTAATTCTCATAATATTTCAAATGTTTTCATTATTATTATATGTTATGATTTGTGATTGATTATAATTAACGTTACTATTATAATTGTTTTGGAGTACCATGAACCACACTCTTATAAGACGGTGGGCCAGGCACGGTGGCTCATGCGTGTAATCCCAGCACTTTGGGAGGCCGAGGCGGGCAGATTGCCTGAGCTCAAGAGTTCGAGACAAGCCTGGGTAACACGGTGAAACCCCATCTCTACTAAAATACAAAAAAAAGCTAGCCGGGTGTGGCAGCGTGCGCCTGTAGTCCCAGCTACTTGGGAGGCTGAGGCAGGAGAACTGCTTGAACCCGGGAGGTGGAGGTTGCAGTGAGCCGAGATTGTGCCACTGCACTCCAGCCTGGGTGACAGAGTGAGACTCCATCTCAAAATAATAATAATAATAATAAGAAGAAGAAGATGGCAAACTTAATCTATAAATGCTGTGTGTGCTCTGACTGCTGCACTGACGGGCTATTCCCTTATCTGTCTTCCTCTCCTCAGGTCTCTCTGTTCCTTGAGATGCAATAATATTGAAGTTAGGCCAATAAATAATCCTACAATGGACTGTAAGTGTTCAAGTGAAAGGAAGAGTTGTACATTTCTTACTTTAAATCAAAGCTAGACATGACTAAGCTTAGTGAGGAAGACATGTTGAAAGCCAAGACAGATCAAAAGCTAGGCCTCTTGTGGCAAACGGCTAAGATGTGAATGCAAAGAAAAGTTACTGAAATCCTACTTCAGTGAACACATGAATGATAAGAAAAATACAGCCTTGTTGCTGATATGGAGGTGGTTTCAGCGGTCTGCATAGAAGATCAAACAATCCCCAACATTCCCTCAAGTCAAAGCCTACTTCAGAGCAAGACCCTAAATCTCTTCAATGATATGTAGGCTGTGTAAACTAAAAATAAAATTCTAAGCCCCCCACTGACTGAATGGACCCCACTGTGGCCAAGGGACCCCAGAAAAACCTTAAAAATAAGTTCCCAGTTATGATGGGACAGGAGGTCAGACAGGCTTCCTTATACTTCCTCCCTTTTGCAGATTAGACACAACAACTGACCAACATTTATGCCAAAATAGAGATCATAAGACTGATGGAACACACTCTTTTTGGCAATAGGATACCAAATTATAAGGGACCTAAGCCCATGCCAGACAATGGTTAAGTCACATACCCTTAAATGTAAAGAATAAACTATGTTCTAACTGCCACAAGGTTTTTCTTTTTCTCTAGCAACTAAACAAGCACTAGCCTCGAGATAGGCAATATTAAAACAATTACAACTCATCCAGTTCACAGATGCTAACCAAACCTCTGTTCTACTAGCCACAACTATAGATTTCACTGGAAAAGAGACTGATTTCAATAACTTTATCTTGGTAAGGAGACCACTGACCATGGACTGGCTCTGGCCAGTTTTCAGAGGTTGCACACTCATGTGCCTTCATGTCCTGAAAAGACTTTTTGATGTATAGTACCTAATTGTAATAAATTTAAATGTTTTCTCCACCCCAAAGTGAACATTAGTTATATGTTACATGCATGTTTCTTCAGTATGGAAGTGTCAGGACCACCTTCATGAATATTCAAAGCTCCTCCTGTAACCTGTCAAGTATGTATGTTTAGCTAGCCTCTTTAGCATAAACTTCCTACTCCAACCCCTCCTTCTTTGAAGTGCTTGTTTCTGGTCTTGGCTGCAGGCTGTGCTTCCCAGCCTGTGGGATGGCCACCTTTTAGGCTATATGCCTTATAAGAAATAAAGTCTCTTCTCCTTTTCTAATTCATACTTTTCCCGATTAACAATTGAGAGAGGCAAGGAAGCTGCAGATGAAAAGCATACAGGTAGCAGAGGTTGGTTCATAGGTTTAAGGGAAGAAGCTGTTTCCATAACATAAAAGTGCAAGGTGATGCAGCAAGTACTGATGTAGAAGCCACAGCAAGTTATCCAGAAAATCTAGCTAATACAATTGATGAAGGTGGCTAGAGTAAACAACAAATACTCAGTGCAGACAATACAGTTTTCTATTATAAGAAGATGACATCCAGGAATTTCATAACTAGAGAGGAGAAGTCAATGCCTAGCTTCAAAATTTCCAAGAACATTCTGACTCTTATTAGGGACTAATGGAGCTGCTGATTTTAACTTAAAGTCAATGTTCATTTATCATTCAGAAAATCCCAGGTCCCTTAAGAATTATGCTAAATTTTCTCTGCCTCTGCACTCTAAATGGAACAACAAAGCCTGAATGATAGAACATCTGATTTCAACATGGTTTAGCGAATATTTTAGGTGCACTGTTGAGACCTGCTTCTCAGAAAAAAAAAAAAAAGATTCCTTTCAAGATATTATTTCTCCCTGACAATGCATTTAGTCACCCAAGAGCACTAATAGAGATATACAGGGAGATTTATGTTGTTTTCGTGTCCTAGAGTTAGAAGGAGAGCCTGAAGATGTGACTGAATTGCTACAATCTAACAATAAAACTTTAATAGATTAGGAGTTGCTTATTTATAGATGAGCAAAGAAAGTGGTTTCTTGAAATGGAATTTACTCCTGGGTAAGATTCTGTGAGCACTGTTGAAATTATAACAAATGAGTTAGAATATCACATGAAGTTCATTAATAAAACAGCAGGATTTGAGAGGATTGACTCCAACTTAGATTCTAAGTTTTATTGTGGGTAAAATGCTGTCAAACAGCATCCCATGCTACAGAGAAATGTTTCATAAAAGGAAGAGTCAATCAATGTGGCAATCATCATCATTGTCTTATTTTAAGAAATTGTCACAGCCATCCCAATCATTAGCAACCACTACCCTGATCAGTTAGCAGCCATCAATGAGGCAAGATCCTCCACCAGCAAAAGATTATGACTTGCGGAAAGCTCAGAGGAGTGTTACAATTTTTTAGCAATAAAGTATTATAAATTAAAGTATGTACATTTTTTTAGACATAATGCTACTCCACACTTAATGGACTACAGTATAGTGTAAACATAATTTTTTTTATTTCTTTTTTAAGGTGGAGTTTCACTGCTGTTGCCCAGGCTGGAGTGCAATGGCATGATCTCAGTTCACTGCAACCACTGGCTCTCTGGTTCAAGTGATTCTCCTGCCTCAGCCTCCCGAGTAGACGGGATTACAGGCATGCATCACCACGCCCAAATAATTCTGTATTTTCAGTAGAGATGGGGTCTCTCCATGTTGATCAGGATGGTCTCGAACTCCTGACCTCAGGTGATCTGTCCGCCTTGGCCTCCCAAAGTGCTGGGATTACAGGTGTGAGCTATCACACCTGGCCTGTAAACATAATTTTTTTTTCTTTTTGAGACAGAGTCTCGCTCTGTTGCCCAGGCTGGAGTGCAGTGGTGTGATCTTGGCTCACTGCAAGCTCCAGCTCCCGGTTCACACCATTCTCCTGCCTCAGCCTCCTTAGTAGCTGGGACTACAGGCGCCCGCCTCCATGCCCAGCTAATTTTTTTTTTGTATTTTTAGTGGAGATGGGGTTTCACCGTGTTAGACAGGATGGTCTCGATCTCCTGACCTCATGATCCGCCCACCTCGGCCTCCCAAAGTGCTGGGATTACAGGCGTGAGCCAGCGTGCCCAGCCATTAACATAATTTTTATATGCAATGGGAAACTAAAAAATATTTTGTGACTCACTTTATTGTGATATTCACTTTATAGTAGTGGTCTGGAACCCAACATACTATGTCTCTGAGTTATGCCTATATCAGCCACTTTACACTCATCTTTGGCTTGCAAACACATCATTTGCCTTTAAGCTTTGTCCTAGAAGGGATGCAGAGAAACTCATTCAAATGAAATTGGCAGAAACTATTGTACTGGAGAAAATTGTTTTTCTGCTACCTCTCATCATCCCTGGTAGGGAATGGATGCTAACATAGCAATTAAGACAAATGCCAGTTGAATATAAAGGAATCTTTAAGGTTATTTCAAGTTATCCAACTTTGAAAGGGGGTAAAAATGATATACTTTAAAATCATATTTTTGTTCAAAGTCAACACAAGAAATACTATCCCTTAACAATCAGGAGACCATTATGGGCTACACATGTTTATTTGGTTTTTAGAAATGGTTGTATAATTTTCTTTAGTTCTTTATTAAAGGCCAAATTATCTTAGAAGCAGTAGAATATAGTGGTTAAGAACGTGAACTCCAGAGTCAGTCAGATGGGTTCTTGATTCTACCATTTATAAGTGTGTGGTCTTGGTCAAATAACTTCTATCTCATTTCCCTCATCTGTAAAATGGGTATAAGTTAGTTTGAAGGACTAAATGAGGTTTTCATGTAAAATGCTTAGAATAATACCAGACAGTTAGCAACTGATGAATAAATATTATCATCCCATCTAGTGCGACATTAGGCAGGACTACTGTACCTTTTTATTTATTTTTTAATTTACCCTTAACCTTCATCTATCACTGTCAAGTTTATACCACCAAAAATAATGGCCTTCTAATTAGAGGCATTCAAAATACCTGTCTGATTGTCTGACTGACCTACTATACCTACTTCCAAGAAGTTCTGTTGAATAATAATACTAGACTACAATATTTGGTCATCTATTATGTGAACTTGTTATTCATTCTCTCTCTTTCTCTCTCTCTCTCTCTCTCTCTCTCCTGCCTCCCTCCATCCTTCTCTCTCCCTCTGCCAATCCCTAGAACATGTGAATATGTTACTTTACATGGCAAAAGGGCTTTGTTACAGATATGATTAATGTTACAAACCTTGAGATAAGTGCTATGGTTTTAATGTGTCTCCCAAAGTCCATGTGTTGGAAGCTTAATTCTCAGTGCAACAGTGTTTAAATATGGGATCTTTAAGTGGTGATTAATCCATCCATGAGGATTAATGTCATTATCAGAGGAATTGGTTTGGTATAAAAATGAATTCAACCTGCCTTGTGCTAGCATTTTCTATCTCTATATATACCCCTCCCTCCCTCCATGAGTCTCTTTCTCTCTTTTTCCTGCTCTCTTGTCCTCTGCCTTCCACCATGGGATAACGGAACAAGCAGGCCCTGACAGATGAGGCCCCTCAACTCTGAACTTCCCAGCCCTCAAAATTGTAAGAAATAAATATATGCTTTTTTATAAATTACCCAGTTTCAGGTGTTCTGTTATAGTATCATAAGGTAGACTGAAACAATGAGATTAGCCTAGATTATCTGAGTGAGTCCAATAAAACAACACATCCTTAAAATTGGGAGAACTCTGTGGGCTGTGATTAGATGTGACCAAAGAAGAATGGTCAGAGATACGCAATATTGATGGCTCTAAATATGACAGAAGGGAGTCATGAACCAAGTAATACAGGTGTCTTCTAGAAGCTGGAGAAGGCAACAAAATAGAATTTCCCCTACAGCTTCCAGAAGGGGGCATAGCCCTTGATTTTAGCCCGGTGAAACCCATGTTGAACTTCTGACCTACAGAAATTTCCAGTAGAAAATAATTAGGATATCTTGACAAATTTCTCTAAGCCTCTGAACCCCTTATCTTTCCATTTCTTTTCAGGAGTATGGATCCAATGGCAACTCAAGATATTCTGACTGCACTAAAAGGAAGTAGAAGGAATTCACATTCCCTAAGAAAGAAGCAGGATGGTCTTCTATTTTCTTCTTCTTTCCCTATTCACCTTTAGCCCTATAATTCTCAATCCATTAATGGAACACACCTAACATACAAGTCGGATTTTTTTCACGCCTGATTCTCCCTTTGGAGATGGTCCCTACCTGGTTGTAAAAAGGTCAGCTTGACCAGTATTTCTTTTTTTTTCTGCCTTTAGTAAATGCCTGTAGTAATTTATTGGGAACTTTTCATTCCAACTTTGCTCTTCCTCTGGTAGGATTTTCAGCTGAACTAGAAAGAAAGAGATAGATACCTGGGGAGCAAAATAATTAGGAGATATTTCAAGCCACATTTCTTGCTACAAAGGGTCAAAATGCCTGTGCAACGTATTTCAAACACAGCTATGCCTTCTCTTTATTAAACTCAGTTGGAGGGATTATGGAACAGGAATACTCTCTTCATGGGTATCTGCCTGGAAGGCAATACAAACTTCTTCCTCACAAGCAAGGCTAACTGCATATTTAACTGCAGAAAAGATGGAGCTGAACTAAGCATGTCTTAGGGAGACTTCTGAACAGCAAGTGTAGCTTCTGTCACCCTCCAATCTCCCACTCCTTCTCCACATTCTTTCATTTCTTCCCTTTTCTTATCCTCTCCCTCTCCCCTTGCTTCCCATTCTCTTTCATTCCTCTTTTCCTTTCTGCATCCTAAGAGATGAAAGGTACTTGTTGCCTAGATGAAAGCTTATAATCGCCATCTACTGGATACAGGATTTAAGTACGGGTTGCAGCAGGGTATTTATGAGTATTTGCATGCTTGAATATTGTCTGTCTCTATTAAGTAATTATTTCTCTCTGACTGCACAGTTGAAATTGCTTCCTGAAAAAACACAATCTTATGCTGTTTATCAATGCTTCTTTTTCATAGAATGTGCTTCAGAGTTTTAAAGTTACAATTACTAAATTATAATTTACTAAGCCCCTCCAGGAGAGGGATTCTGCTCAACTCAACAAGTGCTTGGCACATAGTAAGAATTAGTAAATGCATTTGACGAAATATTTGAATCAATCCCTTGGCACAGAAACAAAGCCTCTCTTTCTCTGTACATCAAAGTCAACTGATTACAACAATAACCACCTAACTAGATTCCCTGAATTTTTTTTTTTTTTTTTTTTTTTTTGAGATGGAGTCTTGCTCTGTCGCCCAGGCTGAAGTGCAGTGGCGCCATCTCGGCTCACTGCAACCTCCGTCTCCTAGGTTCAAGCAATTTTCCTGCCTCGGCCTCCCAAGTAGCTGGGATTACAGGCACCCACCACAACACCCAGCTAATTTTTGTATTTTTAGTAGAGACAGGGTTTCACCATGTTGGCCAGGCTGGTCTGAACTCCTGACCTAGTGATCTGCCCCCCTCGGCCTCCCAACGTGCTGGGATTACAGGTGTAAGCCACTGTGCCTGACCGATTCCCTGCCTTTATTACCTTCTCCTCTAATCTAATCCATTCCACATTTGTTGCATTAATTTTCCTGAAGTTGAACTCTTTCTTGACAAGAGCATTTAAAAAAGTATCCAATACCTCCCTGTTTCCCACATAACGAGGTTCAGAGTCATTAGCCTTACTTTCAAATCTCCCACCCTTCAAACTTCATCCTAATTTGCTGACTTTATCTCCTATAGCCCCCTTCACAAACAAAATGATTTATTTGTTCCCAAAACATTCTGTTCATTTCACTGTCTCTGTGTCTTCTATTCAGAATTCGTCTCCCCTTCCTGTTCTTCATCTTGCAAACCTTACCTTGTCTTCAAGTTCTTCTTGTAAACTGTGTTCCCTTTTAAACCTTCTTTAGTTGTCTGCAGCATGTAAGTTCTCACCTTTAAAGTGACTCTCTTGCTTCTGAACTCCAATATCACTTTCTCTTAATGTTTCTTATCACTTTGCACTTTCTAGTTTGTATTCTAATTATTTAATACATGTTGTATTTATCCTACTAGATTGTGAGCTTTATAATCATGATAGCAAATATTAATACCTATTGAATTTTTATAGGTCAGGGTTACTGAGAGGTACTATAGGACCTAGTACGTAGGAAAGGCTTTATAAATGTTATCTATGTTAATGTTGCTGTTGTTCATTTTTTTAAAAAGATACTGCTGAGCTTACCCATTGTGCTTTCAAAAATCTTCAGCTTCAGCAGTAAGACAGAATCCAACTGTGTTTTCATCACTCAAAACTTTAATTTCCTTTCTTTTATGGATTTGTTTTTTGAAAATTCTTAGAGGTAGGCAACAATCGGAGAGCCAAGCTGCTTATTTGAAACTTCACAGCTGTGTGACCTCAGGCATGTCAATTCCTGTGTGCTTCAGTTTCCTCATCTATAATGTGGGAATAATAATAGTATCTACTTCACAGGGTCATTGTGATTATGTAAGTTAATGGGAATTAAGTGCTTATAACAATGTTTGATACATAGTAAATACTATAAAATTGTTAGCTGTTATTGTTATTGTTATTAAAGGAACAACAGCACGAAACAGGCACTTTGACATACATTGTCTCATCTAATCCTCAAAACAACTCCTTAAGGTAATAATTACTTTTTGTTTTGCAAACAGGCCAAAGCTCAGGAGAGTTTAACACTCCTCTGAGGGTACACAGTTAGTAGAGTCAGAGCATAATTCTAATCCAGATGAATATGTTGTACCCTAGAAAGCTAAGAAAATACTAATGTTAATGTTCTGAAGAGCTAAGAACATGCATAAATGTAGATATAGGAGGCAACTGTCTATATAAGCATGATTTGAAAAAGGCCCTGCCACAAAATCCTTCCACTTCCTTCAGTTTCCTTCTCTTCCTTCCTTCTCCTTCCAAGGTCTTTAATACTACTGCTATTACTTCATTCTACAGGTTAAGCATTACTCTCTTTAGACTCTTGGAAGGAATAGCATCTCAGCATGAATGAGTTTATCACATTAATACTAATAGGCATTATTTGAAGAAAGGAATCCCCAAATGGGAACCACTTTCCTTAGGGCGGCTCTGATAATAGTGCACTCCATTCAGGAAACCTGATCTAACCTGGGTTCTCCATCTCAATTTGGAAGCAGCAAATTTAGGGTAACTGACATAGGCCTAAAATATCACAGCTTTGCCACTTCCTAGACATATGACTTTGGGCAAATCACTGATTCTGTTTCCTTATCTATAAACTGAGGCTAACGATATTTCTAGTTTAGAGAGTTGTAATGATTAAATGATTTGATGCACACGAAGGGCTTACTGCAGTTCTTGACCCCTGACAAGTATTTAAGTAACATTAGCTGTTTTATTCTAGCTTCTGTTGGCTCCAGAGCAGGACAAGACCTAGCTTCTCACCTGCTCAAAGGGAGCTTTATCAGTGTGGTAAAAATAATCATAATCATAAGCATACCATTAACATTTATATGGCTTTAATTTTTTTTTTTTTTTTTTTTTTGAGACGGCGTTTCGCTCTGTTGCCCAGGCTAGAGTGCAGTGGCGTGATCTCGGCTCACTGCCAGCTCCACCTCCTGGGTTCACACCATTGTCCTGCCTCAGCCTCCCGAGTAGCTGGGATTACAGGCGCCCGCCACCATGCCCAGCTAATTTTTTGTATTTTTAGTAGAGATGGGGTTTCACCGTGTTAGCCAGGATGGTCTCGATCTCCTGAACTTGTGATCCACCCGCCTTGGCCTCCCAAAGTGCTGGGATTACAGGTGTGAGCCACCACACCCGGCCATGGCTTTAAGTTTTTAATAAGGACTTTGTAAATATTTTTGGTACTCCATAATTGAGGTAAACAAATAGCTTATATTCTCTACTTCATGTATGATGAAACTGCGGCCCTTTGCCAAAGGTTCAATGATTTATCCAAGATCACATCTTCAGTGAGCAAAAGCACAGACTAGGTCTAGGTATTCTGGCTTATGATTTTTCCATTCAACTAAATTAACTCTAAGGGACCTAGATTTGAACTCTCATAATTGTCTAGTTCTTTTGCTCGCAGCCTTTACCTCTTATGTACTTTTTCATCCTCTGCTAATGGCCTTCCCTTTTCTTTCCTCAATACAATCACCTTGTTTTTTCTATTTTAAGAAAAAACATAAGTGACTTAGACTTGCCAGTAACTTTTTTAGGTTCAGCATAATGTACAACCACAAATATGATTTAATTCGTTGTTATCCGTTTCTTGATCAATTTCAAGTTCTTGATAAATAGCATGCACACCATGCATACAAAAGTGTATTTCACCAATGAGGAAATAGAAAGCCTGTCCAGGAAGGAAATGGCCCGTAATTTTCAATTGATAAAACTGAGTAGCAGAAAATGACTAAAAAGTAAAGGTTTTCCATTGTCTGCTAGTTTTTTTTTTCCCCTGGTTTTCTTTTTCTCTTTCACCTTTTTTTCATTTTCTTTCATTTGTTCTTTTTACTCTCAAAACACCAGATTAGGAAAGAAAGTCAGGGCAAGCCTTGGGTTTCAGTTGTCCTGTTAATAGCATCTGGGCCTTGTTACTTGGTTTTCCTTTATGGCACATAGAATCATATTGCAATGTAATAGGGGTCACAGTACTATTTTTCCTTAATTTTTTATTTTCTTGGAGGTGAGGTCAAGTAGTGGTGATAAGTAATTCACATAGGAAAGAGCCAAAGAAAGAAAACTTTCAGATCATCAATTATCAAGAAGGAGGGAAATAGAGAGAATATGATCATTTTCTTTCTCCCACTTTCCCCTACATCAGTGGAATTAAAGCAGGCAGATGTTGTCCTTCACTGGTCTCTGCTAGACAGATTTCATGACTGTACTACTTTGCTATGTCTCATTTTCATCAACTAACCAACATTAATCAAACTTTTGGAAGCATCCTTATCAGTGCTGCATAATGCATCTCTGTGACTTCCTGATTCTTTCAGCTCCTGTTTGCCTCTTGTTTGGCTTTCATGTAGGGGAACAGAGGTCAGTCACTCTAGGAGATATGAATAGTCCCTTCAGCTCCCATGTATTGCTGTCACTCCACCCTGCTGCCTGTCCCCACATACCTGCAAGATGTATTTCTATTAACCAACACTGATTTGCAGGAGCCCATTCTTCAGTTCCATTTAGGTCACCTAATCTGTTTGCTGCTCACTGTCCAAGGGAATTAATTTAACATACACACGTGTGACAAACTCTCCAACATTCAATATAGTTACCAACTGTCTTGAAGTTTCTGGGGCATTCAGTCTTTGGCTACCCAAGGAGACCCAAGAACAATGAGAGAACTCTTCCAAGTTGTTTTGTTTTCTCCTTCCCTCTCTCTCATTTTTAAAAAAATAACCTGATGGGAAATTATTTAATTTGTGCATCTGAGAACTATGCATTATGATGATCAAAGGGAGATAATACGGAGTTCCAATTTAAATCAAAAGCAAACTCTAAAAACAATTTAATGAATGCCACATTATTATGGAATTATGAACTAAACAGTGTGTGTCTTAACAGTGGCTGGCATATTTCATGCTTTGTGTGTGCTGCAAAAAACATTTTGTAAATCTGTAACTTTTCCTGATTCCCAAGGTTCTCTACAAAGAATCACAGTGATATACATTTGTAATGTGTCCAATTAGGTTTTCAAATAATATTTTATTTGGAAGATATTCCCAAATTAAATATACACTCTGTCTATGTACGCCTGAGATTCTCAATGCTCTCTTACTGGACGTTGTTCAAACAACAATCTGTGCATTTTATATGAGGGTGAATGCAATAATGTTTCTTAAGAGAAAAAAATAAAGATGAAACAAATAAATTGTGATTCATTCAGTTCCCTAAAGAAGACACACCATGTTTTGACAGTCCCTGTTTGGCAACATCTGGCATCTCATGCATAGTAAAGAGTAGCAAGATGCATTGTGAATTAGCTTAATGAGGAAATTATATTTGTTGCATTTGCTTGAGACATTTAGCAAAGCCTTCATCTACATGATTTCGTCAACAAAATTTGAGAAATATGCCAGCAATATTTTCACCCCTATTTTAGGATTCATTTTCCATAGGTCACAAATGAAAAGAAATTTCTTAAACTTAGATGTCATCACACCCACTTTTAAACAACAGAGTAAGAGGCAGGAACCATAGGTTTCTGTTCCAGCCCTGTCAGTTTCCAGCTGTAAGGCCTGGGGCAAGAAAATGTGGCTTTTTTTGCTACAGCCAGTGGCTTCAGTCAAATACAGAAAACTGATGCCTTTTTACTTTCAAATTATATGAGAGCTTTCTTTTAAAAAGTAATTATTGCTCTTTTGTTTTTCCTACTGAATCATTTAAGAGTAAATTGCAAAAATCATGACTCTTCACTTCTAAATATTTCAGTGTGTATTTCCAAAGAACAAGCACAGAATTTTACATAATAATGGTACAATAATCAAATTCAGGACATTTAACATTGTCCCTTTGTCCTTGCCCTTCTTGCTACCTGGAATACCCTTTCTTTACTCCAACACTCATCTTCCAAGGTCCATTTTCTTCACAAAGCCCTCTCAGATTCCTCAATGCCACACTGAAGATTTAATGAAGTTTTAAAACATTGAAGCAAGACAGAGAGTGTACATCTTTGCTTCTGCCATTTTCTAGCTGCATGATTTTAGGAAAATTACCTAATCTCTCCAAGGCTAGGTTTCTTTATCAATTAAATAAAAATAAATATTTACTGACTCAGGCTCACCTGGGGATTAAATGAGAACATGTATATACAATATTTAGCATAGGTACACAATAAATCATACTTCTATATTTTATTACAATTTCTCTTTTCCCTGAAATCATGTAGGAGTGAATACTTTCTACTTTGTATTTCAAGCATTGGTGAAATTATTTATCTCCCTTATCTCTGACAATAATCACTTATGTATGAGTCAGAATTTTCTATGTGCAATTGGTAGAAACCCAACTCAAATTGGCTTTAGAAAAAAAAGGGAATTCATTCATAATTGAAAACTCTAGGAAAATCCAGAGTCTCAAAAATGTCAAAAGGAGTTGGTCTCTATTTTTCTTTCTGTGTATGTATGACTGGGCATGGGGGTTGCCTTCAGTAGCTCTATTCCTATATCTGACTAACTACAAATCCAGTGGAATGAAATGGATTCGTTCCAACAGATCCAGCAAAAATTAGGGAGTTAAATCCTAGACAAATTTGCCCATCCCTAAACTAAATATCTATGATTTAGGTGGCAATGATTCTGGTTGGTCAGATCTGGGTCATGTGATAACCCTGCTTGTTTCAGAGTGATGTCATCCCTGCCGGACCCACGTAGACAGAGAGTGAAAACGGGATGTTTACCAGAAAAAAATCAATGTGTGGTGACTATAAAAAGAAGGAATAGATGTTGGTAAAAAAAAAATTATATTATGGCATTTTGTAAGCCATACCCTACCTTATAAATATGGAAGATATCATAGCCAATATCCTTAGTCTCCTGCAATCAGTCTCATCCTAAGTGGCCTTCAAGACCACATACACGCTGAAGTCAATATCCTGTATAACCATGGAGGGACATACTGCAAAGCAGCTATCTTGAATATCAGATCACATTCAGTTTCCTCATCTTCCATATCTGGTCAAAATGGAGTAACAGAGACCAGATTCACTCTCCTACCTGAAACAACCAAGAGAGCCAAATAAAATATACGAAATGCAAGTTTTTAAGGCACTGGATATCAGGCAAAAAATGATAGTGATCCCTGAAAGACGGAAAAGAAATGAGGTGAGCCCTATGATTGTCCAGGTTACTGTCATCAGAGTTTCCAGGCCACAAAATAAGGACACGGAACTCTGGCAGAACATACTCCCTGTGTTGAGGAAAGAAAGCTGAGAGTCCAAAGAGAACCAATTGGTAGAGTCTGCAAAACAAAATACCAGAGAGGAGAGAGCTGCAGAGAAATAACTTTGGGGAACTGCAGAAGATACCCTTTGAATATTCAGTAGAGTACTCATCAGTGTATGCATATAAGGAAATTACTAGAGAAAAAAAGATAGATAAAAAAAATAGTGTTCATAGATGGCTAGAATTAGTTCCTGTTACTACCAGATTGGAAAACTTCACAATTCAGTCAATAAGGTACTTATTGACTGAGCTTGATTTATTGACTTATTGAGCTTGCCTCACTTGTAGGGAATAATGAGACTTGAATCTAGACTACAGACTAAAGGCCACTCTGGTTCCCTAACAAATTTGACAACAAATACATAGAATAATAAAAATCTTTCCAAGTAATTTAATTATGGCCCAGAATAAAGCTTAAGAATATTTATAGAAATTCAAAAATACCCAGTATCCAAAAAGGTAAAATTCACATTTGACATCTATCCAAAAATTAGCAGTCATGAAAAGAAGAAAATACATGCCCTAAGAAGAAATCAACCAATCAAAAGTAATTCAGAATTGAAACAAGTGTTAGAATTAGCATACAGGGATGTTAAAACAGTTTCTATAACTGTATTCCATATATTTAGTAAGCTAAGTAGAGACATGAAAGATATAAAAAGGCCCAGGTCAAACTTCTGAAGATGAAATCTACAATGCTTGAGATTTAAAATTCATTGGCTGGGATAAGCAGCAAATTACAAAATTACACCTCTCATAACAAAAAGTTAGTGAATTTGAAGACAGAGTAATACAAAAAATTCGAAATGAAACTCATAAAGGAATAAAGAATTTGAAAGAGTGAAAAGAAACATCAGCTACCTCTGGGACAACTTCAAGAGACCTAATATATGTGTAGTTACAGTATTCAAGAAAGGAGAGGCAGACCAATATTTGAAGACATAATGGCTAAACATTTTCTAAAGCTGATGAAATTTACAAATTCACAGATTCATGCAAGAAGTTCAATGACACCCAAATATAAGAAACATGAAGAAAACTAACTACACTGAAATACACCCTAATCTAATTGCAAAAAAAAAAAAGTGATACAGAGAAAATCTCAAACTCGCCAAGAGAAAAAAAACAGACAATACATACAGAGGAACAAAGATGAGAATGACAGCATTTTTCTTCTCAGGAATGATGCAAACAGAAGACACTGGAGTAACATCTTTAAAGTATAGAAAGAAAAAACAAAAAACAGCAATCAAGCTTGATGTTTGGATGTGTATCCCCACCCAAGTCTCATATTGAATTGTAATCCCCAATTTTGGTAAAAGGGCCTGGTGGGAGATGATTGAATCATTGGGGCAGACTTGCCCCTTGCTGTTCTTCTGATAGTGAGTTCTCATGAGATCTGGTTGTTTAAAAGTGTACAGCACCTGCCTCTTCTCTCTCTTCCTCCTGCTCTAGCCATGTAAGATGTGCTGCTTCCCCTTCACTTTTCGCCATGATTATAAGTTTCCTCAGGCCTCCCCAGAATCAGAAGGCTGTACAGCCTGCAGAACCATCAGTCAACTAAACCTCTTTTTAAATTACAAATTACGTAGTTTCAGGTATTTCTTTATAGCAGTGTGAGAATAGATAAATACAGAAAATTGGTGCCTAGGAGTGGGACTCTGCTATAAAGATACCTGAAAATGTGGAAGTAAATTTGGATCTGGGTCATGGGAAGAGGTTCGAACAGTTTGGAGGGCTCAGAAAAACAGGAAGATGAGGGAACATTTTGAAATTCCTAGAGACTTATTGAATGGTTTTGACCAAAATGCTGATAGTGATATGGACAGAGATGGGCAGGCTGATGAGGTCTTAGATGGAGATGAGGCACTTATTGGGAACTATCATGCTTTAGCAAAGTGACTGCTATCTTTGTGCCCCTGCTCTAGGGATCTATGTAACTTTAAACTTGAGAGTGATGATTTAGGGCATCTGGCAGAAGAAATTTCTAAACAGCGAAACATTCAAGATATAACCTGGCTGCTTCTAACAGTGTATATATATATGCATGAGCAAAAAGATGATCTGAAACTGGAACTTCTATTTAAAAGGAAAGCAGAGCATACAACTTTGGAAAATTTGCTGCCTGACCATGTGGCAGAAAAGTAAAATCCATTTTCTTGGGAGGAATTCAAGAAAACTACAGAAATTTTCATAAGAGGAACCAAATGTTAATAGCCAAGACAACGGGGGAAATGCCTCCAAGGCATTTCAGAGACCTTCGTGGCAGCCCCTCCCATCATATGCCCAGAGGCGTAGGAGGGAAGACTGGTTTTATTGGCCGGGCCCAGGGTGCTGCTATCCTGTGCAACTTTGGGACACTGCTCCCTGTGTCCCAGACACTCCAGCTCTAGCCATGGCTAAAAGGGCCCCAGATATGTCTCAGGCTGCTGCTCCAGAGGGTACAAGCCATAAGCCTTGGCAGCTTCTATGTGGTGCTAAGCCTGCAGGTGTGCAGACAGCAAGAGTTGAGTCTTGGAAGCCTCCACCTAGATTCCAGAGGATGTATGGAAACATCAGGATGCCCAGGCAGAAGTCTGCTGTAGGGGCAGAGCCCTCAGGGATAACCTCTACTAGGGTAGTAAGGAGGGAAAATGTGGGGTTGGAGCCCCCATACAGAGTCCCCACTGGGACACTTCCTAGAATAGTAGATCCTTGAATAGTAGATCCACTGATGGCTTGCACTGCGTACCTGGAAAAGCCACAGGCATTCAACACCAGCTGTTGAGTGCAGCCATAGGAGCTAAGCCCTGCAGAGACATAGTGGCAGAGCTGTCCAAGGCCTTGGGAGCCCACCTCTTGTATCAGTGTGGCCTGGATGTAAGACATGGAGTCAAAGATTATTTTGGAGCTTTAAGATTTAATGACCATCCCACTGGGTTATGGACTTGCATGGAGCCTGTAGCCCCTTTGTTTTGGCCAATTTTTCCCCTTTAGATCAGGAGTATTTAGCCAATGCCTGTACCCACATTGTATCTTGGAAGTCACTAACTTATTTTTGATTTTACAGGCTCATAGGCGGAAGGGACTTGCTTTGTCTCAGATGAGACTTTGGAGTGTGGCCTTTTGAGTTAATGTTGAAATAGATTAAGACTTTGGGGGACTGTTGAGAAGTGATTATTATGTTTTACAATGTGAGAAGGACATGAGATTTGGGAGGGGCAAAAGGTAGAATGATACGGTTTGGATTTGTGCCTCCCCACCCAAATCTCATGTTGAATTGTAATCCCCAATATTGGATGAGGGACCGGGTGGTAGGTGACTGGATCATGGGGGAGGACGTCCATGGTTTGGACTTGTATCCCCCTCCCCAACCTCATGTTGAATTGTAATTCCCAATGTTGGATGAGGGGCCTGGTGGGAGGTGACTGGATGATGGGAGAGGACTTCCCCCTTGCTGTTCTTGTGAGAGTGAGTGAGTTATCATGAGAGCTGGTTGTTTATAAGTGTGTGACACCTCCCCCTTCTCTCTGTTCCTCCTACTCTGGCCACATAAGACCCATGCCTCCTTCCCCTTTGCCTTCCACCATGATTGTAAGTTTCGGGAGGCATCCCCAGAAACAGAAGCCTGTACAGCCTGCAGAACCATGAGCAAATTAAAACTATTTTCTTTATAAATTACCCAATTTCAAGTATGTATTTGTAGTGTGTGAGAATGGACAAATACAAAGCTATAATACTACACTAAATAAAATATTTTTCAAAAATGAAATAAAGACTTCTTAACATATATAAAAGTTGAAAGAATTCATCACCATCAGACTTGAGCTACCAGAAACATCAAAGGAAATGATTTGGGCAGAAGGAAAACAATACCAGATGGAAATATGTACCTATATAATGGAATATAGAGCAGTGATAATGGTAACAACATGAAAATATCCCTCTATGTACATATATATATATATACCTTATTTAAATGTCTTTAAAAGATGACTGTCTTTAGACAAATAATTAAAATGTAATGTGTTATTGAAAACATATGTAGAAGTAAAATATATGACAATAGCAATAAGGCTGGGAGAGGGAAAAATGAAAGTAAACAAAGGCAAAGTTCCTATACTATACATGAACTAATATATATTTTAAGGTAGACTGTAATAAATTATAGCTAACAAGGCAACAAAAGAGTAAAAATGACATCGCAAAAATGCTCAATCCAAATGAAGGCAGAAAAAAATGAAAAGGTACAATTAAGAGATGGGACAAATGAAATACAAACTAAAAGGTAGATTTAAGCCTAACTATATCATTAGAAACATTAAATGAGAATAGTTTTTTAATGCCCCAATTAGTCATAGTCTTTTAATGCCCCAATTAAAAGGCAGAGGTTGTCATGTTGGATAAAGAAAAACAATACTCGAGGATATACCTACAAGAAATTCACTGCAAATATAAATACATAAATAAGTTAAAATGTAAAAGGATGGAAATCGGTATACAGTGCTACCATTTATCAAGTGAAAACTGGAGTGATTAATATCATACAATTGATGCTGGGAAAGGAAGTAAAAAACGCTATTTTCACAATGTTTGCTTGTATATATCAATAAACAAATGAACATTTTGAATCCACGCAGAAGCTAATAAAATTTTACAACTGAGTCTCTGAAAACAAATAAAATGAAAAAGCCCTGATGTGTTGTTGTGTGTGTGCTCCCACCATAGCCATTTTCAAGCTACTTGATGTCAACCAGCTCACATTTTCTGAAAATTTAAACATAGACTCTTAAGAGCCAGTCCTATTTACCACTGATTCCAGGCTATCAAAATGTGAGCATATAGTCATCATATCCTGCCAGCTGGCTCTCCTTTGAAGCAACTATATTTAGAACTTAGAATACAGTTGCTTCAAAGGAGAGTTGTTTAGAATTTAAACGCTGAAACATTAAAGGGTACACAAATGATCCATGGGCTATGAATGTATATGGTCTAAATAAAACAGGATTTCTAACAGCATTCTCCACCCTTCCTCCTTACTAAATAGTTTAGCCATTCTTATGGCCTCAATAAATCTAGGTACCTGCTGAACAAATCAACAGAAATCAGGACATTAACATTTCATCATGGAAACTATGTATGCCTGCAGAAGATGAGAGGACAGGCCTTTGGGGATGTTCAAAGTGATTCTATTTGTTAACTTCTTAAAGAAAAGTTAGTGTGAATGTCATAAATTTTATTAATTTGCAGGTCATATCAATTCGTTTTAGTCTTTTATAACAGACTGAAACTAATTTGTAACACAGATAGAGGGCAAATTAAGGGTTCTCATGATTAATCGTAAAGGAAATCTTTACAGATGCTGACTTTTAAATCATGTATTTATTATTTTTAACTTTTTAGTGTATGGGACAGAGAGGGAAAAAGGGGATGCAGGTGGATTTAGTTTTTGCTCTTTAAAAATTATTGGTAGGTAGGTGCTGAGCAATTCCACACATGGAATCTCATGTACAAAATGGGGTAGTGACAATAAATAAATTGTTGTGGGCTTTCAGGCACCATACCTTAAATATCAATGAGATAGTTTCTCATAAGTGAGACTTTTAAGCTACCACACATAACATGGCATGGGAAGTCAATTCCTCTGCCCTATCTGGCATAAGGCTGGCCTTAACTTTAAGACTAAACACACCATCCTCCCCTCAGCCCACCTCTAACCATCAAATAATAATTTTTTTAGACTATCATCAAATCTGACCAGAAACAAAAACTATCATGTCTTATCTGGAAACTAGATAAGGATGGGGAGATATATCCTGTTCAATATATGCAAGTTTTCTGTTTAGTGTGTTAGGGAGACTAAAGCAGTGTGTACTAGTTGAATGAGGTCCAAAAGTACAGACTGTTAGAAATATGCAACCTTCACTTCTCAGTTCAGAAGGATCCCTAAGTTCCTGTGCTTTACACAGCCTGTGAGGGGGAATCTTAATCACATTAATATCATGGACTCTAAAAAGAAGTAGTCCTGGTGTTTAATGGTGCATGGCAGGTCAGCCTGTGTTTATAGCTCAGGATATGAAGAGTAGGGCTTGGGAGCTGGGGTGGTGGGGGAGGAAGGCAGACAGGGACAAAATGAAGTACAGAATGTGAAATGGTGGCAAAAGCTTAGGACCTAGCATCAGCAATACTGGAATCTCCCCTGAGCTGTGCCACTAATTTCTGGTGACCTGGACACGTCCTTCTTCCTCCCTGAATTCCATTTGTATCATCTGAACAATGAAGATGTAGGACTAGTGGTTTCTAAAGGTTTTTCTTTTTGTTTGCCCCAAGAGTCAATGACTTTAGGGACTCCTTTAACCTGTCTGGCAATGATTCTTTATATCTGCCTTAAGGGAAATGGTAAGAACTCATAACCTCTTATAGGTATAAGGCCTAGTTCAGTTTACAAAGTGCTCTTCACATACATATGTTCTTTGATCCATCCTAGCAATAGCCTTCTGAGATAGGTAGAGTAGGTACTTTCATCCCCAGTTGACAGATAAAGAAACTGAAGCTCAGAGACTAACACTTAGTGAACACTTACACTTTATGTGCTAAGCATGTTACATGAATCATCTCCCTTAGTCCACACAATGACCCTCTGAAGACTTTTATGGTAGTAATATATTATTTACATTTTACAGATGAAGACACTGAGGGACAAAGAGGATCCCTGATTTGCCCATGGTCGCTTAGGTGGCAAATGCCTACGCTTCAGAGCCTTGCACTTTATACTATATACTGCTTATTTTGTAAGGGACCAAATGGAGTCTTGCCTTTGGGAACAGGGTGTAAGGATAGGAGAAACACCCATAATTAGAGAAAGCACAAACCTGCTTTGGGCAGGCATGCCCTTGGCAACACTGTGAATACAGTTTGCCTTTGCTGCCTTCTGACATCTCTGTCCCCATCAGGCATCCAGTACCAATCAAGATTTCCATAGGCCATATTCTCTAAAGCCCATAGAGGTGGTAAAGCATTTTCTACAGCAGGGGTTCCCAATTCTCGCTGGCCAGCTGGGAATCTTTAGCCTCATTTTAGAGAATTAGATTCAAATAGTTTAATTCAGCGTCAAGGTTTAAGCTTTTCGGGTGGTTCTAACGTGCAGTCAGGGTACAGAACAAATGTTCTCAATCTTGGCTGCACATTAAAATCATCTGGAAAGATTTCCAAAGTTAATGAAGTGCACAACCACCAGAAATGCTGATGTAATTGTTTTGGGGTATAAACTTGATCTGGAGATTTTTATAAGCTCCCAAGTGATATTAATGTAGATACAAGGTTGAAAATCACACATCTACCCAGAAGACCTATGATCTACTATATAGGCTTCACCACTCATTAGCTAAATAAACTTGGGTAAGTAACTTAATGTCAGACATAGTTTCTTCATCTTAAACATAAAGAAAATAATAACATTCACACTGTGAGGTTACTCTGAGAAGTAAATAACGTTTGTCAAGGGCTAATATCTGGCATGTAGTAAGTGCTAAAAAAACTAGCTATAATGATAAATTACTATGCAGGATAAAAAGTATCTGATAAACAAAATCTCACTGAGGCAATGGTTCTCAAACTTTAGCATCCATCAGAATCACCTGAAAGCTTATTAAAACACAGATTGCCTCTCTCTAGCTACATTTCACGTCTGGGGTGAAACCAAAAATATGCACTTACAGTAAGTTCCCAGAAGATACTGATGCTACTAGTTTGAACTTATAGTTCAAACTAGAGAAGCTCCATAATAAAATATTAGCTTCAGTTTCAGATTCCCCTCCAAACGAGGTTTTTGTTTGTTTCATTTTTGTTTTTTGAAAGAGTCTCACTCTGTTGCCCAGGTTGGCATGCACTGGCGATCTCGGCTCACTGCAACCTCTCCTTCCCGGGTTCAAGCGATTCTCCTGCTTCAGCCTCACAAGTAGCTGGGATTACAGGCATGTGCCACCACACCCAGCTAATTTTTGTATTTTCAGTAGAGACAGGGTTTCACCATGTTGGCCACACTGGTCTCGAACTCCTAATCTCAAATGATCTGCCCATCTCAGCCTCCCAAAGTGCTGGGATTACAGGTGTGAGCTACCGTGCCTGCCCTCAAATGAGTATTGATACATTCAAAAACCCCAAGGATGTTATTATGGTGGAACTTAAGATACTTCGGTTGACAAATAGTGGGGAGATATTTGGGGACAGGCAATATCCTTGTAAAAAGCTGACTACTCCACTTAATTTTAAGGTGAGTCCATGTCAGCTTCCCTGGGCTATTTTCCAAAGCAGGGGAGACAGAACAGAGGCTGCTCTAAATGAGATTTTGTAACAGAGTAGAGGAAGCTTCATGTTTTTTTTTTTTTTCTTTTCAGCACCATTTAATGAGAGCTGCCCTTTCCCCTCCTTCACTCTCTCCTCTAATTTAAAAAAGATCCCACTAAAGTGGCACGTCTTCACAGAAGGGTTAAATTCATGTTTAAATGTATTTCAAGGCTTATAAAACACATTAATATTGACGGGAATGTGATTATTTCCTACCAAAAACTGTCACAGAAATAAGAATGTTTTCCAGTGTCTCTGGAGAGGTTCTGACAAATAGACTAAGGCTGACAAATTTCTGCCCCAACCCTGACAGCTACTGAAGTCATCAATTCTGGAAGGGATAAGGCAGGCTGCGAGCCCAATAAGGAGGCTGGCAAACGTGTTTGCAGCATACTTTCTACTTTTCTGTGTCCCTGTCAAGTACTCCCCTCCAGCACTGGATTCCCAACTCTTCAACCATCACTCTGTTTCTGGGCAGCAGATATTATCCTTGATAAACTCCACCCCAACCAAAGTCTATTTGGACTTTTTAATTCTCTAATATCTGGCCAAGGCTAGGCAGTTGACTTGCTGAATTTAGATACATAAATTCACACTGGCCAGGTGTGGTGGCTCACACCTGTAATCCCAGCACTTTGGGAGGCTGAAGCAGGCAGATCACCTGAGGTCAGGAGTTCGAGACCAGCCTGATCAACATGGTGAAACCCTGTCTCTACTAAAAATACAAAATTACCTGGGCATGGTGGTGCATGCCTGTAATCCCAGCTATCAGGAGGCTGAGGCAGGAGAATCGCTTTGGCGGAGGTTGCAGTGAGCTGAGATTGCTCCACTGTACTCCAGCCTGGGAAACAAGAGTGAAACTCTGTCTCAAAAAAAAAAAAAAAAAAATCACCTGGATGCGGTGCCTCACGCATGTAATCCCAGCACTTTGGGAGGCCGAGGCCGGCAGATCACCTGAGGTTGGGAGTTCCAGACCAGCCTGACCAACATGGAGAAACCCCGTCTCTACTAAAAATACAAAATTAGCCAGTCGTGGTGGCAGGCGCCTGTAATCCCAGCTACTCGGGAGGCTGAGGTAGGAGAATCGCTTGAATCCAGGAGGCAGAGGTTGCAGTAAGCCAAGGTTGCGACATTGCACTCCAGCCTGGGCAACAAGCAAAACACCATCTCAAATAAATAAATAAATAAATAAATAAATAAAAATCACATTGAGGCCGGGCACGGTGGCTCACGCCTGTAATCTCAGCACTTTGGGAGGCCGAGGCAGGTGGACCATGAGGTCAGGAGTTCGTGACCAGCCTGGCCAACATGGTGAAACCCTGTCTCTACTAAAAATACAAAAAGAATTAGCCAGGCGTGGTGGCGGGCACCTGTAATCCCAGCTACTTAGGAGGCTGAGGCAGGATAATCGCTTAAAACCGGAAGGCGGAGGTTGCAGTGAGCCGCGATCATGCCACAGCACTCCAGCCTGGGCAACAAGAGAAAAACTCCATCTCAAAAAAAAAAAAAAAAAAAAAAGCATCACATTGAATGTGTGAGTGGTAGGTACTGCTTAATGGGATATTTTTTTCCAAGGAATTTGTAGCAAAAGCAGCAGCTCAAATGAATGAGTCTCAAATAGCGGAAAGCCAGGCAATGCGGCTGGTGGCATAGTTGGTAAAATAATTTGGTTGCTAGGGTGGCATTTGGGCAAAGCATGCCAATATTTTCTAGAGCAGATAAAGTGGTGGAGAGTCCTAGAAACTTAGTTCCACAGGTGGATGGGTTTGACGCTTGAGCAATCACTCAATATCTTTATATCCTGTCACTCATCTATAAAACGAGGTTAATAATATCCTGCCCTGCCTCCCTCTTTTGAGTTTTGAAATTGAATTTTCATGGCACATGTGAAGGCATGCTGTAAATTAGCAGGTGTTAGAGAAATTCAAGTTTTTGAATAGTAATGACAATGATGACGATGATGAAATAAGTGATAAATCCTTAGCCACATGAGAAAAATAGATTGAAGGTTAGTAAAGTTTCACACACCAGAAAAGATGTACTGAATAAAAAGTACTCTTGGCTGGGCGTGGTGGCTCACGCCTGTAATCCCAGCACTTTGGGAGGCCAAGATGGGCAGATCGCCTGAGGTCAGGAGTTCAAGACCAAGCTGGCCAACATGGCGAAACCCCATCTCTACTAAAAATACAAAAATGAGCCAGGCATGGTGGCACATGCCTGTAATCCCAGCTACTCAGAGGCTGAGGCAGGAGAATCACTTGAACCCAAGAGGCAGAGATTGAAGTGAGCTGAGATTGTGCCACTGCACTCCAGCCTTGGTGACAAAGCAAGACTCTGTCTCAAAAAATAATAATAATAATAAAAAAGAGGAATGTTGATGTCGTCAAATTAAATATTACCATACCTCATATCTTGGAGCCACGAAAATCCATTGATTTGATGTGGATAGAGCATATTTATCAGGCATGTCCTTCTGTGGGTCTCAATGTCCCCATCTGTTCCATGAGGGGGTAGGAGGCCTGGATATTCACAGGTAACACAATTTTCTGGGTATTCATAGGGAGGAAAGAAGCCACCAAGGAAGCTGGCTGCCACTGCTTCCTCCTCTCCTGCTCAGAGGGGATAGCTCAAGAGCCAGAGAAGAAACAGTAACACTTTGTAGGGATCTGTACATTGGAGGCTTCTTGGAGGACCCTGAGTAGCCCACTGCTATTCCCTCCTAGTGAGCTGATTTCAGTAGAAGATTTACAAGTACTCGAGACCCTTAAGGACACTAAGACGCTGGTCTACACTAGCATAGCTCCAGGTCATAAGTAGGAAATGATAGCTCAGTCAATAGCAAATACTCCAAGGACCTGAAATGATCTGAGACCACTTCGCTTTGAATCATTCTACTGTAGAGAAGCAGCTAACTTACAGGCTCTTGATGTATTTGCCCTAGTAATGGCAACCCTCAGCCCCTACCTCTCAATAGTAATTTACATGAGCAAAGCCTGCTCATGCAGAGAAGGCTTAAAACAATAAAACTGTGTGTTCAACCCCAAAGACCCTAACAGTCTGCCATCCTCAGAAGAGCAGTGACTCCTAGCTGGTCAGACCCAGTACCCATGGTTATCCAGCACGACTTGCTCCAGGAGAAAAAGCAGAGGGCTGCAATGAGGAGATTGTTATCCCTGCATAAGGTAGGTATCAAGTCATTCCATAGTTGCATTGGGGCTTAAAGATTGGGGTTGCAGTGGTGGGTAACAGACGGCGTTTCTGATATGTTTATCTCCACAAAGAAAAGAACCTCAGACAGAGATCACCCTATAAATAGAAGCACTACAATCTCTCACTTAAAGAAAATCTTATAAACCTAGCCATTATGCCTCAAATTCTACTGGTAGTGTTTAAGTATTACTGTTTTCTGAGTCCTTAAAATGGGAAACAGTACATCTACTGATAAAGAGCCAAGGCTCCAATAAGGGCTGGGCTATTTACTAACTCTTCATCCTAGTCAAGTTGCTTAAGTTTTCTAAAGTTTAGTTTCCTCATGTGTAAAAAAGGGTAAGCAATACCTTCACCAGAATTGTGATTAGCAATAACATTTAGTAAGTGCTTAACACAGTGCTCAGTACATAAGAAATGCTTGGATAAAAAAAAAGGTAGCTGCTATTACTACCTAAAATCCAAACTGTCCTGCAGAATAAATCTCCATTAGTGAGTATGGCAGACGCCTCTCTTTCAGAGACAATTTGGCAGAGTGTAAACATTACGGGCTTTGGATCCAAACAGACTTGGTTTTAAATCCAGCCTCTTTCACTCTCTAGGGCTGAGATCACTGTATCGTTATGAACCTCAGGTCCAGAGTATTACAAAGTGGGAATAATATCTTACCTTACGGGACTTTTGGGAGAATTATGACATAAAGTTTGTGACATACCTGGTACATAGTAAGCACCCAACAAACATTAGCTTTTTTCTCAGGAAAGCAATGGACTCTAACACGACATGAGGGAATGTTGCTGAAAGTAGAGCAATGGGTGTTATAAGGAAAAGGTGGGACACTGGAGACAAACTTATGTCCTGTGGCCCTGATCTAGGAGGTGGATAATTTACTGAGTTAATGGAAATGATGTAAGAATCCAGTGCCATAGAAATGTCAGTACACCATAATAAAAATGGGCTCAGGGGGTCAGACAATGTACAAGCCAGGACATTCAAGGTTTCTTCCATGCTCACTGTACTCTTCTGAGGTGTTCTTAGCTGACCATCCCACATCTGCAGACACATAATGGGCTTTTTGACTGGCTATGAGACAGTCTAGCATGAGAACTTTACCCAGTAGGTGGGCTGCTGGGACACTGATGGGATAATCCCTTTGGATCCTCTCTCATACAGTATAAAAGAAAAATTGGTTATGTCAATAATGGGTGCTGACTGGAGAAGAAACAGAGGAAGTTGATGATGGTGATCATTACATCACCACAAAGCTGTAATTCTAGAGGCAGAAACAACAGACAACAGCTTCTGAGGAGAACATTTATTAGAATTATTAATAATCCAGATCTCTTGTCAGACTGCCAAAGCAGTCTGTTTTTGCAGTTAGCAAAATGGTGTACCGCCCTCTGTGACACGTGTTTGCACGGTTAGCAAAATGGCGTACCACCCTCTGTGATTCTCCACATATCCTTATAATAAATCATTTTTAGCAGAGGTGGCCTGAGTATATCTAGGTTCCTAAGAACATAGAAGTATTTGGGTGCAAATTTCAGCCCTGCCACTCACTAGTTTTCTCATATGTAAAATGGGAAGTGTAAGGATTGAGTTAGTACATGCAAAACATTTAGACTAGTGTTTGGCACATAGTAAGTGTTCAAAAATTGTTACCTATTGAAGTAACGGCTTCTGAGTCTGTTTTCTTATCTGTAAAATGGGATTATATTTACCTCCTGAAGTATTTGGATTAGATGCAGTAACACAGGTAAAATAGTACATAGCTATATATCTGGTACTTCACATATGTTGACTATCATTTTCCTTCCCTTAAAAACAAAATATTCAAATATTTTGAATTTTGAAACACTCTTCTAGGCAGAATAGTAAAATAACTTTGAGCTTTGTGCATTGCAGGTGCTGAATATATAGATACTGTGAAAAGTTTCCACTTCAATGAGTGTTGCCACTGTGAACTTCTCTCTCACCCTCTACCCTCATATACCCAGGCTCAGAAGAATTGGGATGACTCAGGTATGGTTTTATTTGGAGATTTATATCAAAAATCTTCCTGTGGGTCCAGGCCTTCCTGGTGAGTTAAAAGGAAGCAAGATAATGTCTGGTCTCTTGCCAGTGGGATGATGTCACTATCCTCAACTTAGCTAAGCAATGCTCATTCTTTATGAGGCTTACAATAAGTGTCACACATAGAAATAAAATAAAATTTAGCTTCAGATTCAAAATTATTTATTCTGTAAATGGGCATTTCCACCTGGAGGGTCTCAAAAAAAGAATATTAAGCTAGTAAATCTCAATAAATTATAACAATTTAAAATTTTTCTTTTCCCCATCTTTACCTAGAAAAGCATCCTCCATCACTGCTCTCTCCTTTTAATTTAACCCCAGATTGGTTCTTAGATTTTATGTCTGATTGAATCTAAACAATAGTCAAAATTCCATAGAGAAAACCCTTGTTAATTATTACTTCAACACCCAGGTCCCTTTAAGTGGCAAAATCACTATGCTATGTTTTTTTTTAATGTTTTTATCTTTTCCTCACAATTATTTCATGTCATTTTGATAAATTAAAAGCTAAACATAGCAAGCTTCAGCACGATCAAGTTTCAGCAAGATTTCTAAGAAATATATATATAGAGTTCATTTTATGAACTTTCATTTGGAATATGGGACCTAACTTTAATGACCAAGCAACATATTAAATGAAGAATTTTTTTCTTCCCTTACAAAATTTAAGAACATAAAACAGTCCAGGTAATACATTTTACATGAATAAATGTCCCTTTAACATTCAATTTGGACTTTTCTAACTGAAGTTGGAAGGCTTTCAGCTGTCTGGTAGACAAAATGGATTAGTGGTTAACGTATAAACTAGTTATTAAGTACCACAGGCACTTTAGTCATTTATTTGTAGCAAGGCCCTTTCAACAACTTTGTACCTGCTACTACAGTAAGGAAGCAGTATATTTACAAGAATATAAGCAATAACAATAGACAGATTTCATTTTGGAAATTTCAGTTGAATTATTTTACCAATAAATCTTCTTGCTTGAGAGCATTTTCCAGTGTGGAAAATGAAAAGCTTGAGTATGAATACAACTTAGTTAACTTTGTAACAAATTGATTCCATTTGTTAACTTGTGGAAAAACTGCTGTGATTTCTAAGGAAGGAAAGTCTTATTTTTCTGACAGTTCACAAGGAGGAAAAAAGAACCAATCCTCACTTTGAAACATTCTGCTAAATACCTGTTTGTCTCTGGATGAACTGCCTTCAATCAATCATTTTATTAGTAGTTTTCATCGTCTGTCTCAGCAATAAAATTAGCATATGATACACTTCGAACAGCATTATGGATGAGGATTAAGACAAGGTGTGATATAGTGGGATGAGTACTAGATTTGAAATGAGACATAGTTGTGATCAAATCCCAGCTGTTTCCTAGCTGTATGAATCCATGCCATCTACTTAAATTGTCAGCCTATTTCCTGTTCTCTAAAAATCAAAATAACAATCACCCCACCTTGCACACAGGATTCTTTTGATGATTAAATAAACTATAATATGTCAAAGTCCAGATCAGTTCCTAACATAAATAGGTGCTCAATAAATGTGGAGGATCTGAATCTCTCTGTTGCTCACTCTCCTCTTCTGTAAAATGGGAGGTGGGGTTAAACTAAATGTTCTCTATGTCTTCGGAGAAAAAAAAAATGCGAAGGTCCATAACACCATAATACCACATTTAGAATTCTTTTGGGGGTAATGGTAGTGAGTTTTGGGGTAATTGCAGTGTTTCACTAGTTCAGTGCATTCCCTTCATTCTTTTCTATTACCCTTTAGGGTAATGCAACCAATGTACTCTGAAAAGATCTGTAGAAAGGGGATCTAAGGCCCAGAAAAGGGTAAAGTATTATCCAAGTTAGCAGTTAGTATCAGAGCTAGGTCTACACCTTACATGAAATCACTGTAATTCAGAACCAGGGCTTTTTCCTTTACAATCTACACAAGAGCCAATTTAGACTTTATTTTGAAGCTGCTATCTACTAGCTTCATTTAATCTATAGCAAATTAAGCTCAGTTTTTGGTTGTTGTTGTTTTCTTTGCATCCTAGCAATCTTAGGTTCTTACTTTATCCATAGATAGCTAGTACCCTTAAATTTCTGTTCAGATAGTCCAGATGGTCCTTTCCTGTAACTTTCTAAACTAGAAAGCAAACTCATCTCTGATCATAATTACTTGTTCTATCTCCTACTCCTGTTTCCTCTCTGCAGCAACATTTGGTAATAAATTAACCAGGCAAAATAATCCAGCCCATAAAGATTATCTAAAATGGTTCACAGGAAGGTGGAAGATTTCAGGTGTCTAAGCATATGAGTAGGGAAGTAATTTTTGTCAGCCACATTGTCTAAAGGATGAAGATACAGCAACATTTTTCTGAGCATTTGACCTTATATATTGAAGTAAATGACACAATCAAATAGATAAGAAAAAATCAGGAGAAAATAAGATTGATGGGCAACTAAAACTGAAGGTAAATTAAAGGTGCTATGATGTCTGTTTTTCATGACAGTATAGTCTGACATGTACTACTTTTCAATTATTAAATCAATTATCCAATTAGAAATGTAATTATACTAAAAACTAAGAGTTCACAGGTAGTGGTGCTATTGGTTTAAGAACAAATTCTAAGAAAGGAATTCTTGTTACATTTGTAAGATAATAGATGAATCTAAAAGTAAAACTTGGTGTCTATCAATGTTTTTTAAAAGACAAGTATGATAGGACTATAAACTAAAAGCATGAGCAGTTATCTTTAGATCAAAATCATGTACATTTAAGTAAGTGGTATTGACAATTTAACAATGTTTATTAAAGTCAAAAGAACAGAAACTACACAATTTCTAACAATGCAAAATAAGAAAACTCTATATTCCATAGACATTTTAGTCTGCCATAATCTCTTCTATGGCTAAAATAAAAACAAACTTACCCTTTTAAGTAGAAAGGACAAAGTATCAATTATAAACAAAATAGAAGATTCCAGCATGGAAGTCACAATCATTCAGTAATCATATTTAAATCAAACATATTTAAATAGGATTAACCCAAATTTATAAAAAGTATAATTTCTCATCTCATTAACCAGTGAATATAGTCTTCACTCATACATGTTCTCATACATGGCGGGAAACACCATATATGAATAGTGAACACTTAGCAAAGAAGTCTCTCCGCAATTGCACTTTGAAAGCCTTCATGACTTACAATGACAAGATTTTCTAAACAGATCTGCTCTTCGATAGAACTTCACAAAATAGTGGAATTTGTTCATGGATCAATCTTGCAGTAAATAAGAAAAAAACACCTAACTTACTTAACCTAGATTAGTAGCATACTTGCTAAAATAAAACTTCATCACTTCTCCACATTTGAGAATGTTATATCAGAAAATTGCATACTCATGCTAATTTGTTAATTTTATCTGGGTAAAATAAAGGTATTCCTGGGGAGATGACAAGTAGTACAACTGGTCATTTTGTTTTTAAACTCAAGGATCCTGGCCTTCCAGAATTTGTTCTTCTTTACAACCTTATAACTTTTGTGTCCCACCCCCATAACCCCATGTTATGATCCCAACTTCCATTGAGCTGGATGTAATTCACATGTCTGAGCAAAACATCTTAAGGTATTTACTGTCCATTTCATTTTCTCCAGTTATTAAAGAGTTGTGTTAAAAGAATGAACACATTTAACCAGGAATTCTAGTACATGTAACTTGAGTTGGTTCAGTTGTGTTCTCACTGTTATTTTGTCAGTTGGTTTAAAAACACAGGTTAAGAGTCATAGAAATCAATCAACAATCATATGAAAAAATGTGTATGATAAGTAAATTATATTAATACCATGTGGATTAACCTCCTTTTAAAATACAGGCCAGGTGTGGTGGCTCACACTTGTAATCCCAGCAATTTGGGAGGCCGAGGCACAAGGATGGCCTGAGGTCAGTAGTTCGAGACCAGCCTGGCCAACATAGTGAGACCCCCATCTCTACTAAAAATAAAATAAAATACAAATACAGCATGATAAGGGTTGAGTAGAAATAGGAGAATCATTAAAATGTGTTTCACAATTTCACTGGAAGTATGAAAAGTTAAATTTTGGGGGGAGTCTTAACAATGATATTTAGCAAAGAGAAAATTGTAAAACTGAACAAACCTTAATTTCTCTGGTTTAATGTTGCAGATTTTTTCTAGTTAAGTAGGAACATTATCAATGGAACTGTTTTTAATTTAAGGAATTTAAATAGTCATTAAATCACTTGTTGAAAATTCTAAAACAATTTAAATTTAAAAGCTGATAAATACAGATTAAAGTCAACTGCATTTCTGCTTGGATAACAAAAACATAAAACACAAAACAAAAATAGGTCATACCCATTGTATGACACTAAATGAGGTGATTTTGACTACGTAAACATTAAATAAACATTTCCATGCTTTTATTTTTATGTATCTCATCTCACTGCAGACAGATTTAAAACTACTTTGAATTTTTAAAATCCCAAAACTTTTATTCTGTACTTCATTCTGTATAAAGTACTTTGCAGTACTTTGGTGCTGAATTTTTTATCTAACTTTTGAGGAAGATGGTTAATATACAAGAAGCTAATGCTAGCTCTGTCAAAAATACATCCCTCACACTTTTACATATAATATATATAGAACTATATATAAAATCTGTCAAGATGGAAACTCCCTGGAATTTCTTAATGTATTGAAAAGTACAGCAAGGCAAAAGAAAGCATTATATATAAATAGTGTATAGGCAAAAAAGCATTCTGACATACATAGTATTTTTAGTGTAAGTGGAGTACAACTTATCTATACACACAAAGAATGCTTCAGAGGCAAGTGAAGTAAACAGAAGCAGCAGCTCTTTAAGTTACATTCAATCATGGTGAAGAGCAAGTCTCTGTGATAGTTTATCCTAGAGAAAGCAAATATTACAAGTCACCAAGGCAGTGAAAAATACATAACACTGTTGAAGGCTGAAAGAATGAGGGTCGTGATCAACTCAGTATACCAATGGAGGCCATATGAGTAAACAGCAAACTGTTTACTCATGAAAGCAGGATATTGGAAAACTGACAAACTGCATCTGCCACCCAGAAGGAATGCTGAGGGCAGTCACGACCCAGGCACAAGTGTTTCTTGTGAATAGGCATATCTGAAGCCTGTTAGCAATAATGTGAACCTGTGATCAATCAAGCAGCTGATCAACCATTACCTCCTCCTCCCTGCTCTTTCTACCCAACAAACACGAAGGGCGGCCAGCACGGTGGCTCATGCCTGTAGTCCCAGCACTTTGGGAGGCCAAGATGGGTGGATCATGAGGTCAGGAAATCGAGACCATCCTGGCTAACACGGTGAAACCCCATCTCTACTAAAAATACAAAAAATTAGCCAGGCGTGGTGGCGGGCACCTGTAGTCTCAGCTACTAGGGAGGCTGAGGCAGGAGAATGGCGTGAACCTGGGAGGCAGAGCTTGCAGTGAGCCGAGATTGTGCCACTGCACTCCAGCCTGGACAACAGAGCAAGACTCCATCTCAATAAGTAAATAAATAAATAAGAAGGGCTGTAGAAGCTCAGGGCTGCCTTTGCTCACTAGAAACAAGGAGCCCCCTGACCCCTTCTTTAAAACAAATCCTTTCATCTTTGTTTTCATTTCTGCATTCATTCCCCTTCGTTCAGTCCCATAGTAACCATCACATAACACTATATTTTAAATAGTCCACATTTTAAATATGATTTAAAATCCTAACTCAAATATTCACACTAAAACCAACATTAAGAGTTTAATTCTTTTAAACTTTTCAGAAAAAAATGAACATCTTAATAGAGCAGATGCTATGAAGGGGAGCAAATTCAATATCCAAACAAAACGTGCATGCAAATAGATAATTCCCATCATTACAGAGCTAAAGGCTGATCACATTTTTCTGATTTATGATATATTACAAAGTACTTTATTACAGTAGAAAAATACTCTTTATAAAAGGTGAATATATATTTACTTATATTTAATTTATATAACATGTTTAAATTATATACTATATATTTATACATATATATATATATGTATATATATATCCTAAATTACTTATATACACATCAAACACACAACAGCAAAGATAAAATCCAATCTCTACCTGTTTCATGGAAGCAACAATTGTGCCAAGAGAATCTATCTGACCCTGTGGTAGTTGCATATTGAGATCAAGGCTACAACTTAAAATTAGCAGTTGGTGGCTGGCAAGCTGGCCGAATAGGAACAGCTCCAGTCTGCAGCTCCCAGCGAGATCAACGCAGAAGGCAGGTGATTTCTGCATTTCCAACTGAGGTACCCAGCTCATCTCAGTGGGACTGGTTAGAGTGGGTGCAGCCCATGGAGAGCAAGCTGAAAGAGGGTGGGGTATCACCTCACCTGGGAAGCGCAAGGGATCCGGAAACTCTCTTCCCTAGCCAAGGGAAGCCTTGAGGGACTGTACTGTGAGGGACGCTGCAATCCAGCCCCAGATACTACGCTTTTCCCGTGGTCTTCGCAACCCGCAGACCTGGAGATTCCCTTGGGTGCCTATGCCAGCAGGGCCCTGGGATTCAAGCACAAAACTGGGTGGCTGTTTGGGCAGACACCGAGCTAACTGAAGGAGTTTTTTTTTTCATACCTCAGTGGCGCCTGGAATGCCAGCAAGACAGAACCATTCACTCTGCTGGAAAGGGGGCTGAAGCCAGGGAGCCAAGTGGTCTAGCTCAATGGATCCCACCCCCATGGAGCCCAGCAAGCTAAGAGCCACTAGCTTGAAATTCTAACTGCCAGCACAGCAGTCTGAAGTCGACCTGGGACACTGGAGCTTGGTGGAGGGAGGGGCATCCACCATTGCTGAGGCTTGAGTAGACAGTTTCCCGCTCACAGTGCAAAGCTGCCTGGAAGTTCAAACTGGGCGGAGCCCACCGCAGCTCTGCAAAGCCGCTGTAGCCAGACTGCCTCTCTAGATACCTCCTCTCTGGGCAGGGCATCTCTGAAAGAAAGGCAGCAGCCCCAGTAAGGGGCTTATAGATAAAACTCCCATCTCCCTGAGACAGAGCACCTCAGGGAAGGGGCTGTGGGCACAACTGCAGCAGAGTTAAAAGTTCCTGCCTGCCGGCTCTGAAGAGAGCAGCAGGTCTCCCAGCACAGTGGTCGAGCTCTGCTAAGGGAGAGACTGCAACCTCAAGTGGGTCCCTGACCCCCATGCCTCCTGATTGGGAGACACCTCCCAGCAGGGGTCAATAAACACCTCATACAGGAGAGCTCCAGCTGACATCTGGTGGGTGCCCCTCTGGATTGAAGCTTCCAGAGGAACAAACAGGCAGCAATCTTTGCTGTTCTGCAGCCTCTACTCCTGATAACCAGGCAAACAGGGTCTGGAGTGAACTTCCAGCAAACCCCAGCAGACCGGCAGGAGAAGAGCCTGACTGTTAAAAGGAAAATTAACAAACAGAAAGGAACAGCATCAACATCTACAAAAAGAATGTCCACACAGAAACACCATCTGAAGGTCACCAGCATCAAAGACCAAAAAAACAAAGGTAGATAAATCCATGAAGAGATAAAACCAGTACAAAAAGGCTGAAAATTCCAAAAACCAGAATGCCTCTTCTCCTCCAAAGGATCACAACTCTTCGCCAGCAAGGGGAAAAAACAGGATGGAGAATGAGTTTGATGAACTGACAGAAGTAGGCTTCAGAAGGTGTATAATAACAAACTCCTCCGAGCTAAAGGAGCATGTTCTAACCCAATGCAAGGAAGCTAAGAACCTTGAAAAAAGGTTACAGGAATTGCTAACTAGAATAACCAGTTTAGATAAAAACATAAATGTCCTGATGGAGCTGAAAAACACAGCAGAAGAACTTCGTGAAGCATACACAAGTATCAATAGCCAAATCGGTCAAGTAGAAGAAAGGATATCAGAGACTGAAGATCAACTTAATGAAGTAAAGCATGAAGATAAGATTAGAGAAAAAAGAATGAAATGGAATGAGCAAAGCCTCCAGGAATACGGGACTATATGAAAAGACCAGACCTACGTTTGATTGGCGTACCTAAAAGTGGCATGGAGAAAGTAACCAAGTTGGAAAACACTCTTCGGGATATTATCCAGGAGAGCTTCCCCAACCTAGCAAGACAGGCCAACATTCAAATTCAGGAAATATAGAGAACACCATAAAGATACTCCTTGAGAAGAGAAACCCCAAGACACATAATTGTCAGATTCACCAAGGTTGAAATGAAGGAAAAAATGTTAAGGGCAGCCAGAGAGAAAGGTCGGGTTACCCACAAAGGGAAGCCCATCAGACTAACAGCAGATCTCTCTGCAGAAAGCCAGAAGAGAGTGAGGGCCAATATTCAACATTATTAAAGAAAAGAATTTCCAGCCCAGAATTTCACATCCAGCAAAATTAAGCTTCATAAGCAAAGGAGAAATAAAATCCTTTACAGACAAGCAAACGCTGAGAGATTTTGTCACCACCAGGCCTGCCTTACAAGAGCTCCTGAAGGAAGCACTAAACATAGAAAAAAAAAAAAAAAACAGTACAGCCACTGCAAAAACACACCAAATTGTAAAGGCCATTGACACTATGAAGAAACGGCATCAACTAACAGGCAAAATAGAGAGCTAGCATCATAATGACAGGATCAAATTCATACATAACATTAACCTTAAATGCAAATGACCTAAATGCCCCAATTAAAAGACACAGACTGGCAAACTGGATAAAGAGTCAAGACCGATCGGTGTGCTATATTCAGGAGACCATCTCACAAAGACATACATAGGCTCAATATAAAGGGATGGAGGAATACGTACCAAGCAAATGGAAAGCAAAAGAAAAAAAAAAAAGCAGGCATTGCAATCCTAGTCTCTGATAAAACAGACTTTAAACCAACAAAGATAAAAAAAAAAACAAAAACAAAAACAAAGAAGGGCATTATATAATGGTAAAGGGATCAATGCAACAAGAAGAGCTAACTATCGTAAATATATATGCACCCAATATAGGAGCACCCAGATTCATAAAGCAAGTTCTTAGAGACCTACAAAGAGACTTATACTCCCACAAAACAATAGTGGGAGACTTCAACACCCCACTGTCAATATTAGACAGATCAATGAGATGGAAAATTAAAAAGGATATTCAGGACTTGAACTCAGCTCTGGACCAAGCAGACCTAATAGACATCTACAGAACTCTCCATCACAAATCAACTGAATATACATTCTTCTCAGAACCACATCACATTTACTCTAAACTTGACCACATAATTGGAGTAAAATATTCCTCAGCAAATGCAAAAGAACAGAAATCATAACAAACCGTCTCTCATACCAAAGTGCAATCAAATTAGAACTCAGGATTAAGAAACTCATTCAAAACCGCAGCACAACTACATGGAAACTGAACAAGCTGCTCCTGAATGACTACTGGGTGAATAATGAAATTAAAGCAGAAATAAATAAGTTATTTGAAACCAATGAGAACAAAGACACAACATACCAGAATCTTAGGGACACAGCTAAAGCAATGTTCAGAGGGAAACTTATAGCACTAAATGCCCACAGGAGAAAGCAGGAAAGATCTAAAATCAACACCCTAACATCATAATTAAAAGAACTAGATAAGTAAGAGCAAACAAATTCAAAAGCTAGCAGAAGACAAGAAATAACTAAGATCAGAGCAGAACTGATGGAGATAGAAACATGAAAAACCCTTCAAAAAATCAATGAATCCAGGAGCTGGTATGTTGAAAAGATCAACAAAATAGAGAGACTGCTAGCCAGAATAATAAAGAAGGAGAGAAGAATCAAATGACACAATAAAAAGTGATAAAGGGGATATCACCATTGATCCCACAGAAATACAAACTACCATCAGAGAATACTATAAACACCTCTATGCAAATAAACTAGAAAATCTAGAAGAAATGGATAAATTCTTGGACACATACACCCTACCAAGACTAAAGTAGGAAGAAGTCGAATCCCTGAATAGACCAATAACAAGTTCTGAAAATGAGGTAGTAATTAATAGCCTACCAACCAAAGAAAGCTCAGAACCAGAGAGATTAACAACTGAATTCTACCAGAGGTACAAAGAGGAGCTGGTCCCATTCCTTTTGAAACTATTCCAAACAACAGAAAAACAGGGACTCCTCCCTAACTCATTTTACAAGGCCAGCATCATCCTGATTCCAAAACCTGGCAGAGACACAACAAAAAAAGAAAATTTCAGGCCAATATCCCTGACGAATGTCGATGCAAAAATCCTCAATAAAATATTGGCAAACCGAATCCAGCAGCACATCAAAAAGTTTATCCACCATGATCACGTCGGCTTCATCCCTGGGATGCAAGGGTGGTTCAACATATGCAAATCAATAAACGTAATCCATCACATAAACAGAACCAATGACAAAAACCACATCATTAACTCAATAGATGGAGAAAAGGCCTTTGATAAAATTCAACACACCTTCAGGCTAAAAACTCTCAATAAACTAGGTATTGATGGAACATACCTCAAAATAGTAAGAGTTATTTATGACAAACCCACAGCCAATATCATAATGAATGGGCAAAAGCTGGAAGCATTCCCTTTGAAAACCAGCACAAGACAAGGATGCCTTCTCTTACCACTCCTATTCAACATAGTATTGGAAATTCTGGCCAGGGCAATCAGACAAGAGAAGGAAATAACAGGTATTCAAATAGAAAGAGAGGAAGTCAAATTGTGTCTGATTGCAGATGTCATGATTGTATATTTAGAAAACCCCATCATCTCAGCCCAAAATCTCCTTAAGCTGATTAGCAACTTCAGCAAAGTCTCAGGATACCAAATCAATGTGCAAAAATCACAAGCATTTCTACACACCAATAATAGATAAACAGAGAGCCAAATCATGAGTGAACTCCCATTCACAATTGCTACCAAGAGAATAAAATACCTAGGAATCCAACTTACAAGGGATATGAAGGACCTCTTCAAGGTGAACTACAAACCACTGCTCAAGGAAATAAGACAGGAAACAAATGGAAAGACATTCCATGGTCATGGATAGGAAGAATCAATATCGTGAAAATGGCCATACTGCCCAAAGTAATTTATAGATTCAATGCTATCCCCATCAAGCTACCACTGACTTTCTTCACAGAATTGGAAAAAGCAACTTTAAATTTCATGTGGAACCAAAAAGGAGCCCACATAGCCAAGACAATCCTAAGCAAAAAGAACAAAGCTGGAGGCATCACGCTACCTAACTTCAGACTATACTACAAGGCTACAGTAACCAAAACAGCATGGTACTGGTACCAAAATAGATATATAGACAAATGGAACAGAACAGAGGCCTCAGAAATAACATCACACATCTACAACCATCTGATCTTTGACAAACCTGACAAAAACAAGCAATGGGGAAAGTATTTCCTATTTAATAAATGGTGTTGGGAAAACTGGCTAGCCCTTGCAGAAAACTGAGACTGGACCCCTTCCTTACAATTTATACAAAAATTAACTCAAGATGGATTAAAGACTTAAATGTTAGACCTACAACCATAAAAACCCTAGAAGAAAACCTAGGCAATACCATTCAGGACATAGGCATGGGCAAAGACTTCATGACTAAAACACCAAAAGCAATGGCAACAAAAGCCAAAACAGACAAATGGGATCTAATTAAACTAAAGAGCTTCTGCTCAGCAAAAGAAACTATCATCCGAATCAACAGCAACCTACAGAATGGGAGAAAATTTTTGCAATCTATCCATCACAACAAAGGACTAATATCCAGAATCTACAAAAAACTTAAATTAAAAAAAAAAACATCAAAAAGTAGGTGAAGGATATGAACAGACACTTCTCAAAAGAAGACATTTATGCAGCCAACAAACATATGACAAAAAGCTCATCATCACTGGTCATTAGAGAAATGCAAATCAAAACCACAATGAGATACCATCTCACACCAGTTAGAATGGCAATCATTAAAAAGTCAGGAAACAACAGATGCTGGAGAGCATGTGGAGAAATAGGAATGCTTTTACACTGTTGGTGGGAGTGTAAATTAGTTCAACCATTGTGGAAGACAGTGTGGCTATGCCTCAAGGACCTAGAACCAGAAATACCATTTGACCCAGCAATCCCATTACTGGGTATATACCCAAAGGTTTATAAATCATTCTACTATAAAGACACATGCACACGTATGTTTACTGCAGTACTGTTCACAATAGCAAAGACTTGGAACCAACCCAAATGTCCATCAGTGATATACTGGATAAAGAAAATGTGGCATATATACACCATGGAATACTATGCAGCCATAAAAAAGGATGAGTTCATGTCTTTGCAGGGACATGGATGAAGCTGGAAACCATCATTCTGAGCAAACTAACACAAGAACAGAAAACCAAACACCACATGTTCTCACTCATAAGTGGGAGTTGAACAATGAGAACACATGGACACTGAGAGGCGAACATCACACACCAGGGCCTGTCAGGACGTGGGAGGCTAGGGGAGGGATAGCATTAGGAGAAATACCTAATGTAGATAATGGGTTGATGGGTGCAGCAAACCACCATGGCACATGTATACCTGTGTAACATACCTGCATGTTCTGCACCTGTATCCCAGAACTTAAAGTATAATAAATAAATTTAAAGAAATAATAATAATTACCATATGAATGTTAATATAGGCATTTTTCTTCTTTACCTAATATGTATTGTAAATTTGAATATTCCATCTTCCATTTTACCTTAGTTTACATAAAAATAAAACAAGTTCAATTTTATAAATATAAATTGAGCTTAAATATCTTCTGAATGTCAACCTTAAGATAATGAATTTACTAATTTTAAAGTATTTTTGTTGAGTCCTAAAAGTGACCCACGTGGAAGGTAATCTTATGATATAAAAGATAATAATACTGGGAAATGATCTGGTCTTCAGAACAAAAGGCCAAACTAATGGTTATCCAATATATTAGATGTACTGTAGATTACCACATTTCCTACTGTGAAGGAAAACTAATATGCTAAAAAAGATAAAACAGGCTAGATAACTCTAGCCTCACCTAATATTTGAGTTAACTTCAATTTCAGTTTTTAGCTCCTGGGCTGCCCTTAGCAGGAATCATTATTTGCATCCAGCCATACAACTGAGTTTCAGAAAAGTTAAGTACACTTGTCTGAGATCATTCTAGTGATAGACATAGGATTTTAATCTAGGTTTGACTGTCTCCAAAGCCTATGATTTTAATCTCCACTGTACCACTCCTCTAGTACATAAACTATCCTTTCTGCGTGTCTCTAAACCATTGGAGTGTATGCCAACTCCGGTATGAAAATACTACAGGGAATATAATATAATGACATTAACAGTCATTATGAGATTTATTATTATTATTATTATTATTTTTTGGAGACAGAGTCTCACTCTGTCACCCAGGCTGGAGTGCAGTGGCATGCTTTCAGCTCACTGCAACCACTGCCTCCTGGGTTCAAGCAATTCTTCTGTCTCAGCCTCTGGAATAGCTGGGATTACATGCGTGCACCACCACGCCCGGCTAATTTTTGTATTTTTTAGTAGAGACGGGGTTTTGCCATGTTGGCCAGGCTGGTCTCGAACTCCTGACCTCAGGTGATCCACCCGCCTCGGCCTCCCAAGTGCTGGGATTATAGGCTTGAGCCATCGCGCCCAGCCCATTGTGAGATTCTATAGACAGATTTTTATTGAAAAAGTAAAGACATAAAATTTAGTTGGGGGAAGCACTAACTCAATCAGCAATTAGATAGTTAAACATCTTTAAAGATGGGCATTGGTGTTTCTACATCAGTGGTTATATCTGTTTCTACTGCCAGTCACCACATATTGACATAGTCTCTTGATTTTTTAGTCACTACCCCAAGGAACATCTGGAAATATCTGGAGACATGCTTGGCTGTCACAACTGTAGGGAGGGGTGCCATTGGTATCTAGTGGGTAGAGGCCAGAGATGCTGCTAAGCATTCTACAGTGCACATGACAGCCCCCAGGATTATCCATCCCAAAATGTCAATAGTATCGAGGTTGTGAAATACTGCTCTAAACCTTATCCAAAAGTTGCCTACTGATTTCATTTACCACTGAGAGTCAGTAAGGCCATAATGTGGCAGCATTCATTTTATAAAACTTCCCTTGCTGCATTTTCAAGCCAAATCGTCTAATTTAGTCTTTAGCAGAAACAGAAACAAGTCCTTAGTCTCTTATAAAGACTATGTTTAAAAGATGGAGTCTTCTGACACAGAATGCCTTTGTTATAATACTTAACAAAAACCACCTTTCTTGTTCCCCTCCATATGGGCTACTTTAGGATTCTAACAAAACAAAATAGCACACAACTTAACCCACAGCCCTGTTCTCGAACATTACAAACCTGATTTTTAATTTATTAATCTCGATTTTAATTCTTTAGCATTAGTGATCTAAAGAGTTGATAAACTTAACTGTTTATTCTAATCAGGTAGTAGCTTAGATAGGATTTATCAACTCTATTTTCCAGATGTCCAAATCTTCTCTTCCCAGGAGAAAAGAAAAAAATAAGACTAAGCCTCATTTCAAACTAGTTCTCTACCTTTGAAAATACATTATAAAACATTAGCATCAATTTTTATTTTTTACTACTACATTATCTTGAACTAAAATTACACCAGAGAATAATAATACAACATGATTTCTACAGCAAAGATATCATAGATAAGTCATTCTCCCATGACATGAAGGGCCTGAAATAAACAGCCCTTCATGTATTATATATCCTGTTTCCAATAGCAATATCACAAAAGGGTATGAATTATTTACTTAAAAGAAACAACCAAATCATTATGCGTAATATTGCTGTCTTCTGAGCCCCTTTCACATTTTGCACATATTACTCAGTTTGCAGTACTCAAACTAGACTTATGACTCAATGGCCTAATCACAGCAGAATTATTTTGGAAGGTCCTTTTTTTAAAAAAAAAAAACTATATATTTCATACATGCAGCGAACAGTAGGTATTGAGCAAATGTTCAAACACTGCTGCTTCCTTTGATCACCTTTGTCTATTTCTTTTCATACACTAAATGAATCTATTTCCAGAGATTTTTAAGAAAATACTAAGATGACTGAAACACAGTCAAATTTTTATGAGCATGGCAAGGAATTGGATGACTGTTTAAAGTCCCTTGAAACACTAAATTCTAGGGTCACAAACCTAACTCTGGCAATTCGTGGTAAAGAGAAATATTTTCATCTATATTACAGAATTTTAGAACCTCTAGATATTAAATCAAGATTTTCCAAAATCACCTGGATAACTTCTTACCTACCTTCATCTGCCATTTCCTGAAGCAGCATATAGAATAAGAAAATGCGGATTTCTATTAAGCATTTGCTTTTTGCATGGTTTTTGGTTTTCTTTTAAAAGAGGGAAACCGGTCTCTAATTTTTTAAAAGAAAGCATTTAAAAAATATTTTGTACCACCAGAGGGAGCTGCATAATTTCAAAATTTTTTTTTTCTGAATAATACTAAATTCTAAAGCTTAAAACTATGAGGTTATGGGGAAATATTAGCAATGAGGTTCACATATAATTTAAATCTTAGTAATATAGATCTCTCCAAGTGAACCAATTTGTAAAAGCTCCATTCTAACCCACTTTACTTTTATTATGTATAATAGATTTAAATTTTAGATTACAATAATCAGAATTGTTCTTTCTGCCAGTTGATGTAAATCTGATATCAAGGCTAACTTTTTCAAATGTCAGAGATGAATAAAATATAAGTATTGAGATATTTACTAAAGTACAGGCATTCTCAGGCAATAGAGTCTGATTAATAATTTAAAAAACTCTTCTAGTTTTTAACTAAGTTATTGAAAATATTTTTAATATACAGGTGGGAATTCTAAGATATGATCCCAGCTCTACCATTAACAATGAGTATGATTTTAAGCCAATCACTAACCTTGCTGTTGGGCCTTAGTTCTTGTTTTCTTTCATTCACTTTAAAAATATTTCCAAAATATCGAAAAAGTTCATGAAATAGTAGATTCCTATGTGCATTAACATTTTGGTTTTAATTCATATCTAAAATAGCATTATTCGTGTTACAAGAATTTACTTAAATTGTATTATACAATGATTTTATTCCATAACTTCCTTTCCTCATTCAACCTTGTAAGATTATATCGAGATCTAGATATCTAGTTCATTCTCTTTAAATTACTGTATGATGTTGCAACACAGAAATAGACTCAGTTTTATTTATCCATTCTATTTTTGGAATTTAGATTTTTCTTAACTTCTCCCTATTATAGAAAATGGTGCAATGAACATTTTCGCACGTGTGTGTGTGTGTGTGTGTGTGTGTGTAAAGAGAGAGAAAGAGATTGATCTATATATATACCATTGTCTACACATGTAGGGGCTGCTTTGTGTATAAATTTGGAAGTGAAAGTACTAGGTTACATACATTTCATATACTGTGATTTATTCAACAATCTTCAAAAATTTTGAACATCTACTTTATGCCAGATATTTTACGTGCTAGGGAGGCACCAATGATGCCCTCATTAAGCTTAAATTCTAGTGTGTACACGAGAAGGGAGGGCAAATAAATTTTTTAAGAAGTATATGGTATATTAGAAAGCGATATATACAGTAGAGAAAAATAAAGCAGGGAAGGTAGACAACAGGAGGCATGGTAGGTATACTGTTGATGCAATTTTAAGTAGGATGGTCAGGAAAAACCTCACTATAAAAATGACTTAAAGACCTAAAGGAGGTAAGATAGTAAGCAACGAGTATGTCTAGAGAAAGAACATTTAAGGGAGAAGAAACTACAAGTGGAATGGCTTTCAGGCAGAAATATACTTGGTGTGTTTGACAAATAACAACAAATCCAGGTGCCTGAGTAGACTGATGAGCAATAACATGTCAGGACAGATCAAGGTAAGGCAGGCCATGTAGAACTTTATGGACCTTTGGAAACAATCTGGCTTTTACTGAGGAAAATGTTGAACCACTTGAAAGTTTTGAGAGGAATGACATGATCTGACTTGTACTAATAGGATTGCTCTCGTTGCTATGCTGAGAACAGACTGTAGATGTTACCAAACTGCTTTTCCAAAGTGGATGTGCCAATTTGAATTCTAATTACTACTCATTAGCAGGGTGTGAGAATTTGGGCAACTAAGTGTGTTCAGCCAGATCTCTCTCCATTTCTGCTGTAAATTTTGGTTAAGTTTTTATGACTAATGTTATATATATATATATATATATATATATATATATATATATGAATGTCTCCAGCACCTGGCACAATACCTGAAACAGGAGAAGGTGCTCAGTGAATGTCAGGTGAATGAGCTGAGAGGCACTTCAGATATCATCATATCCAACTCCTACATTTTACAGTTATGAAAACTGAGGCCCGGGGTAGTCAGTATCTGAGTCAAGGTCCCAAAGTTAATTAGAAGCAGAGTGATGACTAGAAATCAAAGTAACCAAGATAGTGAAACAGAACCTTATAGCAATCACACCCCCTGCAGGAACATCAAATTGAACAACTATCCATGCCAAACAAAAACAACAAACAAACAATAACAACAACAAAAACACCTTCACAAGAGCTAAAGAAACCAGGCGAATGGTCACAGTACCTGGTTTTGGAATAATCACAAGAAAAGATGCAATAAGGAGGGTGGACAGTCTCGCATTGCCTACATTACCCTTTCTGCAACCGTACGCAGCACAGCGTGGAGAGAGAATCTGTCTGCTTGGGGGAGGGAGAGGGAAGTGTGCATGGGACTTTGCCTTGGAATCAGTACCAGCCTGCCACAGTAAAACACAGCACCAAGCAGAACCCTAAGGCCCCTCATTCTAGGCTCGTGCCCAAGGATGGAGCTCCTACATCCGCCACAGGCCAGATGGGAATCTGTGGTCCCAACATGATGAACCCAAGTTGCAGCCTGCTTCACCAACAGCTGACAAAAGTAGCCTTAGGCTCTGAATAAATTTCAGTGGCAGGAAGGCTATCACAACTGCAGTCCTTGACTGAGCCCTGGTGATGCACTGGTCTGGGGCTTTTGGTTTGACACACTGTGACATCAGCTGCAGAGGCCACAGACTATCCACTTCACCCCTCCCCCAACCTCAGGCAGTATAGCATGGATAAAGACTCTTTCCACTTGGAGAGAAAAGAAGTGAGTGAGGGACTTTGCCCAGGGAACTCTCCCTGAATTTTCCCAAGTCCATCAGGGCTGGAAGCCTCAAAGCCCTCAAGAGAGTGGCAGCAAACCTAAGCTTAGGGCACCCTCTAGTGCTGAAACTGCTGCAGTGACCACAAGCTTAGTGAATTCAAAAGTCAGTCATGTTTATTTGAATTCCTGGAAAGCCTTCTGAAGAAGGATGAGGACATACAAGGCCAGACTGCAAAGACTGGAATAAATACATAATTTTTCAATGCTCAGACATCGATGCACATTCACAAGAATCAAGAACACTAAGGGCAATATGACCTCACCAAACAGACTAAAATAACAGTGAACAACCCTGGAGAGATGGAGATGTGTGTACTCTCAGACAGAAAACCCAAAACAGGTGTTTTGAGTAAGCTTAACAAACTTCACAAAAGCAAAGAGAAGCAATTCAGAAATATATCAGAGAAATTTTACAAAGGGATTAAAATAATCAAACAGTAATCCTGGAGCTGAAAAATACAGTGAATGAGATTTAAGAAATGCATTCTTGTCTTATTAGGAGAATTAATCAAGCAAAACAAAGGACCAGTGAGCTTAACAACAGTCTATTTGAAAATAAAGGAAAAAAAGAAAAAGCAATGAAAAATGTTCATGAAATCTATGGGATGGCATCAAAAGGGCAAATGTATGAGTCATTGGCCTTCAAGAGGGAGTAAAGAAAGAGAAAGGGGTAGAAAGCTTATTCAAAGAAAAAATAACAGAAAACATTCTAAACCTAGAGAATGACATAAATATCCAAATGCAGGTAGGTCAAAGATTACCAAGCAGATTTAATCCAAGTAAGACCACCTCAGACAAAAATAATCAAATTCTCAAAGGTCAAGGACAAAGAGAGGATCCTGTAAGCAGTGAGACAAAAGAAGCAAATAGTATACAAAGGCACTGCGATAGGTTTGCTGGCAGACTTAGCAAAAACCTTATAGGCCATGAGAAAATGGGATGAAATACTTGAAGTACTGAAGAAAAAATGCCTGCCAATTAAGACTACTGTATCCAGCAAGCCTATCCTTCAAACATCAAGGTGAGAGAGACTTTCCCAGAAATAGAAAAAAAAGACAATCTTCAAATTCATACAGAAATGCAAAAGACTCTGGATAGTTAAAGCAATCATGAGCAAAATGTACCAAGCTGGGGGCATTAATACAACTTAACTTTAAAATACACCACAAAGCTATAGTAACCCAAACAACATGTTACTGGCCTAAAAACAAACACACAGACAAATAGAACAGAATAGAATAACCAGAAATAAATCCACATGTTTACACCCAACATGTATTTGACAAAGGCACCAAGAACATACACTGGGGAAAGAACAGTTTCTTCAATAAATGGTGCTGGGAAAACTAGACAACCATATGTAGAAGAATAAAACAGACCTCTGTCTCTTACCATATAGAAAACTCAACTCTAAATGGATTAAAGACATAAATGTAAAAACCTTAAATTATGAAACTAATAAAATAAAACAGGGAAATGCTTCATAAAATTGGATCAGGCAAGGAGTTTTTGAATAAGATAACAAAAGCACAGGTCTATTCGTGTGATGGTTACACTGAAAGCTCAGACATTGCTGCGATGCAGCATATGCAGGTAACAAAGCTCCATCTGTACCCCCAAATATAGTTTTTTAAAAAGCACCTTTGGGAGGCTGAGGTGGGAGAATTGCTTGAGGCTAGGAGTTCAAGACCAGACTGGGCAACATAGTGAGACCCCCATCTCTACAAAAAAAAAAAATGAAATTGGCTGGGTGTAGTGGCACATTTGTGTAGTCCGAGCTACTTAGGAGGCCAAAGCAGGAGGACTGCTTGAGCCCAGGAGTTCAAAGTTACAGTGAGCTATAATCACACCATGCACTCCAGCCTAGGTGACAGAGCAAGACCCTGTCTCAAAAACCAAACCAAAAAGCACAGGCAGCAAAAGTAAAAATAGATAAATTACATCAAATTAAAAAGCTTCTGCACAGGAAAAAACACATAAATACAGTGGAGAAAGTACCTACAGAATGGGAGAAAGTAGTTGCAAAAGACCTGAATAGACATTTTTCGAAAGACATACAAATGGCCAACAAGTATGTGAAAAAATGCTCAACATCGGTAATCATCAGGGAAATGTGAGTCAAAACCACAGGGAAATATCACCTCACTCCAGTGAAAATGGCTCTTATCAAAAAGACAAAAAATAACAATTGCTTGTGAGGATATGGAGAAAGGAGAATTCTTAGGCACTGTTTGTAAGGATATTAATTCAGTACAGATATAATGGAAAAGAATATGTAGTTTCCTCAAAAAATTAAAAAATAGAACTTCCATGTGATCCAGCAATCCCCTTCCTGGGTATATATTCAAATAAAATGAAATTAGTATGTCAAAGAGATGTCTGCAATCCCATGTTTATTACAATACTATTCACAATAGCCAAAATATGGAATCAACTTGTTTCATCTAAAGATGAAGAAAATGTAGTATATCTACATAATAGAATACACTACTCAGCCATAACACAAAATAAAATCCTGTCATTTGCTCAACATGGATAAACCTGCAGGGTATAAGGTTAAGTGAAAGAAACCTGGCACAGAAAGACAAACATTGCATGATCTTACTCATCTGTGGAATTCAAAAAAAGTTGATTTCATGGAAGTAGAGAGTAGAATAGTGGTTACCAGGGGCTGGGGATGGAAAAGAGCTGGTAAAAGGAGGGACTAGCAGAAATTTGTCAATGGGTACAGAGTTAGTTTGGCAGAAAGGATAAGTTCTGGTGTTATACAGTAAGGTAGCTATAACTAATAACACCATAGTGTATATTTTAAGATAGCTAGAAGAGAAGATTTTGAATGTTATCACCACAAAGTGATAAACATATAAAATTATGGATATGACAATGCTGATTTAATCACTATAGAATGTATGCATGCACTGACACTGTACTACACACATTTGTATAATTATGTGTCAATTACAAATTAAAAAAAAAAAAAAGCAAAAAAAAAATAAATCCAAGTGTCCTGACTTCAAGTTCTTTCAAATGCAGTTGGGTTTTCTAAACTTCACTGATCATAAAATCACCTCAGGATTCCTAAGGTAACCGAATAAAAATCAGAAACTCTAAGACAGTGCTTCTCAAACTCTGTGCATACAAATCATGTCAGAATCTGGTTAAAATGAAGATTCTGATTCAATATATCTGGAGGTGGGGTTCTGAAATTCTATATTCCTAATGAGCTTCCAGGTTGTGAGAGTGCTCCTGAATCTTGTCCTACACACTTTGGGGAACAAAGCTCTAGGGGAGGGTATAAAAGAATCGTTAAATATATCCTCAATTTAAGATATACACATATATTCTTTCTTCTTAACTCTAAACCCTGAGTATAAGCCTGTTCTTTCATTATTTACCTTTTTGTGAAAAGAGCTGTTTGTGGTAAAATGTTGATGGACAGCTGTCGATTTCTTCTTAATCGACTTGGTAAATCATATTTTTTTCCATATTAGCATCCAAAGTAGTAATAACAAGTTCTCTTTTCATTTGACTAACCACATGTTAGGTGCTGGGATCAGAGAGAAGAGTGATAATGAAATAAATTTTCTATCTGAATATTTAAATTTTACAAAACTTTGTTTCTGACATGTGTCACACACAAACTAATTTCAAATTTTAATTTTCTTCATAGGAGGTCTCTGTCCAGGTTCCAGGTTTAGAAAACATCCTAGTTTTCTGAAAATTAATTCATCTTGTATTTTCTATTTGGTTCACCTCTGACTCATGCATACACAAAACACCTAAAGAGTAGGGAGGCAACATAAGAATATTTGCAATGAGATGAACTAGCTGAGGCATGGGATAATATCTAACACCAACTGGCGTCAGTGAGCCTCTAGTACAATGGCCTTTATCAATAAGTACCACTGGCAGTCAGACAGAACCAGGATCTAGACTCTAGACATACAACTCAGTACAATTCCCAGAACTTCAAAACAAGCTAGGGAAAACGCCTCCTCAGGAATCTGGGGGATGAGCAGTAACTTCCTACCATCATTGTGAAGACACACTATGTTTATTTAGCATTCTAGAGATCATTTAGGCTCACAATACCATTATAATTTGAAGTGAGATAATTTTAAAAAGTTATTCTAAGTAGAGAAGCTATACTTACTTGTGGTGTTATTAGGGTTGTAGAGCTACTCATTTTATCTTCCATTTGTTGTGTTTGAATATCCAGTGTTTCAAACTGGTGTTTGAATTTGTCCATCAAGGCAGAAGTCTGTAAAAATAAATGTGGTTATCAGAAAAACTTACACTGAAAAGATGCTGTCTGAACATAATTCTTTTTTTTCAAGGTTCTACTCCTCAATGAAGCACCCACAGACTTAACTATGCCTCACATGGACTTGTTACCTATTTGGAGGATAAAAACAAACAGTATCCTATGATACAAACAGTCTCAAAGTTTTTGTAGTCTCCTAAATATATTACTTACAAATCAACTTATGAAACTTGTCTACCTTTTCTTTAACAGAAATATACAATGTTATGTATTTATAGTCTAGGCATTGGCTATCTTATTTCTTTGACTTTTCACTTCATTAAAAGACAAATAATTCAACCATTGTGGAAGACAGAGTGGTGACTCCTCAAAGACCTAGAGAAGAGAGACAGAAATAGCATTTGACCCAGCAATCTCATTACTGGGTATATACCCAAAGTAATATAAATCATTCTACTACAAAGACACATGCACATGTATGTTTATTGCAGTACTATTCACAATAGCAAAGACATGGAATCAACTTAAATGCTCATCAATGATAGACTGGATAAAGAAAATGTGGTATATATATATACCATAGAATACTACGTAGCCATTAAAAAGAATGAGAATGAGACCATGTTCTTGACAGGGACATAGATGGAGCTGGAAGCCATTAAACTTAGCAAACTAATGCAGAAACAGAAAACCAAATACCGTATGTTCCCATTTATAAATGGAAGCAAAATGATGAGAACACAAGGACACATAGAGGGGAACAATGTGCACTGGGACCTACTGGAGGGTGAAGGGTGGGAGGAGGGAGAGGATCAGGAAAAATAACTAATGGATACTAGGCTTAATACCTGGGTGATGTAATAATATGTAAAACAAACCCCCATGACACATATTTACCTATGTAACAAACCTATACATCCTGTACATGTACCCCTGAACTTAAAATACAAGTTTTTTAAAAAGACAATTAAATCTTAGTTCAAAATCCACTGCCAAAATCACTTTCCTCACCAAGTACTTTGAATATGTCGCACCTTTACCAGCACCCTGTAGCACCCTGCAACAAATTTTGAGTTCTGATATTTATAGATCTCAAGTCTTACCCTGCCCATTGTTACTGCATTTTGACCTCTGACTGCCACAGCACCAACTCTAGCACTCATTCTTAAGAAATCAATTGCTTGATTTTTCTGGTGGATTGCATTTTCAGCATGTATTCTTGCAGCTTCCTTATTGCCTTTCTGAATAGCCTGTTTTAAACAGAGCAAAAGCAAATAAAGGCAAAAACAAAGATCAAAAGTAAATATTGGCAAAGACAGAGAGCAAAAGTACACATATTTTAAAAAGAGGAAAATAACCCCAAATTAACCTATAATCTGTAAGAGCTTATAATTAGCTTTTCAGGAAATAATTATGCACTTAATTATTAGGAGAATATATAGTCCCATAATTTTTAATCTTATGATTAGAAAATATATATTCATTGATAGTTTAAGAAATTAGAACATAGGCTGGGCACGGTGGCTCACGCCTGTAATCCCAGCACTTAGGGAGGCCAAGGCAGGCAGATCATGAGGTCAGGAGTTCGAGACCAGCCTGACCAACATGGTGAAACCCCGTCTCTACTAAAAATACAAAAATTAGCCGGGTGTGGTGGCGTGCACCTGTAATCCCAGCTACTCAAAAGGCTGAGACAGGAGAATCGCTTGAACCCGGGAGGTGGAGGTTGCAGTGAACTGAGATCACGCCACTGCACTCCAGCCTGGGCGACAGAGACTCCATCGAAAAGAAGGGACGGGGAGGGGAGGGGAAGGGAGGGGAGAACATAAAACTGTAAAAAATTGCCCATAATAACATCACTGAGCCATTACCACTGTTAATATTTTAGCATAGGGCATTCCAAGTACATAAATATATTTATTACTATATAAATATATTACAAAAGTACATACATAGAGCATACTGTTTTGGAACTTGTTTTTTCATGTAATATATTTTTTAAAAAATGTTTTAAAGTCAAAAATATATAACTACGTCATTATTTCTAAAGGCTGAACTGTAAGGATGTACCATTAACCAGGGTTTTCATGTGCTACAAACACTACTGATGGTACAGCAAATGATACTACATGTTATATAGATTTAAGTTTCTTTTCTATGCATTTATTTAAATGTTATATGAAAATAATGTAACTAACATAAATCCATGTTTTTTTCTGGTATAAAAGCTTAGGACAGAGCTAAAGTTAAGTCAATTTTTAAAAAAAGTAAATAAATAGCTCACATGGTCCTCCAATATGGCAAAACCAAGAAGGTAATTAGATTGTTTGTAACTCAAGGGATAAATGCTTGAGAGGATGGATACCCCATTATCCTTGATGTGCTTATTTCACATTGCATGCCTGTATCAAAACATCTCATGTGCCTCATAGATACATACACCTACTATGTACTCACAAAAATAAAAATAAACATTTAAAAGTGACTGAAATTTGACATCGAATATTGGATCTCTGATTATTATATTTTTTTCAATTCTTCAATAATATAAAGAGCAATGTGATAACCACACTAGTACATGCAACCCTACACACTTTCCAAGAATCTTCATAAGATAAGTTCCCAGATTCAGAATTACTGGATGCAGAGGTATGCACAATTTTAATTGTCCCACACCTAATTCTGGTAGGGACTTACATCTCTTCCAGCAGTATAAGAGAGTTTCTGCTTCTCTTGCATAGTCATCAATATGAGGTATTATGAGATATATCTGAGAGGTGAAAAGTGGTAGACAGTTGTATTTCTTTGCTTAAAAGTGAAGTTAAAATCTTTATGCTTACCCATTTGTACTTCTTCTTTCTTGAGCCATTTGTGTCTTTGTCCATCTTTCTTGGGCTTTTTCTTATTGATTTGCAAGAACATTTCATACGAAAATTACTTTTTGTTATATATGGCCTTTTCTAGATTGTTGGATGAACTGCTATTTTGTGTATGTCTGATATAAAAATGTCTAATTCTTTTATAGTCAGGTATTTCCTTTATGGTTTTTTACTATGCTCAAAACATCCATCTGTATCTCAAGGTAATTTTGGCATTTTAATCTTTTAATTACTAAATTTAGCATTTATTTTGGTGAAAAGTATAATGTAGTGATCTATAGTTTTCTAATGCCATTTACTGAAGTATTCCCTCTTTTCCTCCTTAAATATACTTAAAATATTTTTGTCTGGTGCCTAATTTTTGTTATTTTAGCTAGTTTTAAAATTCACATTATAAAACAAATGCATGCACACGGGTACAGTATTCAAGTGGAAAAGAGCATATAGTTAATAATCAGGTGTTCCTCCTACCCCAGTTGCCCTGTCTCATATCCTAGAGGTAACTGTCTTAATATACATACATTCATTTATTCAAATATTTACTGAGCATCTAGCAAATGCCGGACAGTATTCTAGGCATGTGGAATTCAGTAGTGAACCCAAAACACAAAAACCCCTGTTGTTATGGAGCTTATATTCTAGTTAAAGAATCTGACTATAAACCAGATAATTAAAATAGTATGTTAACTAGTGGCAGGTATCAGGAAGTAAAAATAGAGCAGGGAATGAGGATAGGAAGAGTTAGGATTGCGGTTGTTGAAATTTTACAGAAGATAGCCCAGAAAGACTTACTGTGAAGGTGACATCTAAGTAAATACCTGAAAGAAAAATGGTTTTCTCTCTGCTGAAGGAAGATAAGAACCTAGTCATATGGATATTCAGCACAGCAGGAAGAAAAAGAGCAAAAAAGGGGAGCTTATGCAAGCATGTGTCATTTACACAGTAGTACAATGTGTCTGAAGCAGAGTGAATGAAGAGTAGAAGAGCAGATGGAATCAGATAGATAATAGTCAGATCATATATGGCTTTATAGGCCATTTTAAGACTCTGGCTTTACTTGGAGTAGGATGAGAACAAGAACAGACAAGTGACATGATCTGGCTTCTGTTTTTAAAATGCTCTCTCTGGCCGCTGTGTTAAGATAATACTTAGGGGACAAGAGTCAGGAACAGGGAGACAAATTAGAAGTTCACTGTACTAACTGAGGTAAGATATAATGATAGCTTGGGTCACGGTAGGTGCATTAGACATTGGATAAGAAATGATTAGATTTTGAATACATTTTAAAGGTAGAAATGGTAAGATTTGCTGATAGATCAGATGTAATATATGAAAAAACAGAGGGCTAAAACATGACTGTACTCTAATAATGTTTGGTTTTGATTTTGTCTAACAGAATTACCTTTAACTGATTTTAGAAAAACCATATTGGAAAGGATGCCACATAAGGGCTTCAGTTTTAAGTTTGGTTTACTCCTTGGACATCCAAGTGGAAACATGAAATAAGCAGGTGGATAGAGGAGTCTGGAGTTCAAGGGAAAAGGCTAGGCCAGAGATGTACATTGGGAAGTCACATTGTGACAAAAGCTAGTGGTAGGTCAACTGACCACTAGACCAAAGTAAAAGCTTCAATTTTAGTGAATGGTGGTGGTATAACCATAAATGGATTGAGTACAGCAGAGAATGAAAGAAGAGTAATTGGAAAGAATTAATAAATATACATAACTCTTTCATACAGTTTTGTTAGAAATACAAAGAGATCCAGTTTCAGCTTTCTACAAATGGCTAGCCAGTTTTCCCAGCACCATTTATTAAATAGGGAATCCTTTCCCCATTGCTTGTTTTTGTCAGGTTTGTCAAAGATCAGATGGTTGTAGATATGCGGCATTATTTCTGAGGGCTCTGTTCTGTTCCATTGGTCTGTAACTCTGTTTTGGTACCAGTACCATGCTGTTTTGGTTACTGTAGCCTTGTAGTATAGTTTGAAGTCAAGCAGCGTGATGCCTCCAGCTTTGTTCTTTTGGCTTGGGATTGACTTGGCGATGCGGGCTCTTTTTTGGTTCCAGATGAACTTTAAAGTAGTTTTTTCCAATTCTGTGAAGAAAGTCATTGGTAGCTTGATGTGGATGGAATTGAATCTATAAATTACCTTGGGCAGTATGGCCATTTTCACGATATTGATTATTCCTACCCATGAGCATGGAATGTTCTTCCATTTGTTTGTATCCTCTTTTATTTCATTGAGCAGTGGTTTGAAGTTCTCCTTGAAGAGGTCCTTCACATCCCTTGTAAGTTGGATTCCTAGGTATTTTATTCTCTTTGAAGCAATTGTAAATGGGAGTTCACTCATGATTCGGCTCTCTGTTTGTCTGTTATTGGTGTATAAGAATGCTACACCTTATACAAAAATTAATTCAAGATGGATTAAAGACTTCAGTGTCAGACCTAAAACCATAAAAACCCTAGAAGAAAACCTAGACAATACCATTCAGGACATAGGCATGGGCAAGGACTTCATGTCTAAAACACCAAAAGCAATGGCAACAAAAGCCAAAATTGACAAATGGGATCTAATTAAACTAAAGAGCTTCTGCACAGCAAAAGAACCACCATCAGAGTGAACAGGCAACCTACAAAATGGGAGAAAATTTTTGCAACCTACACATCTGACAAAGGGCTAATATCCAGAATCTACAATGAACTCAAACAAATTTACAAGAAAAAAACAAACAACCCCATCAACAAGTGAGCGAAGGATATGAACAGACACTTCTCAGAAGAAGACATTAATGCAGCCAAAAAACACATGAAAAAACGCTCATCATCACTGGCCATCAGAGAAATGCAAATCAAAACCACAATGAGATACCATCTCACACCAGTTAGAATGGCGATCATTAAAATGTCAGGAAACAACAGGTGCTGGAGAGGATGTGGAGAAATAGGAACACTTTTACACTGTTGGTGGGACTGTAAACTAGTTCAACCATTGTGGAAGTCAGTGTGGCCATTCCTCAGGGATCTAGAACTAGAAATACCATTTGACCCAGCCATCCCATTACTGGATGTATACCCAAAGGATTATCAATCATGCTGCTATAAAGACACATGCACACATATGTTTATTGCGGCACTATTCACAATAGCAAAGACTTGGAACCAACACAAATGTCCAACAATGATAGAGTGGATTAAGAAAATGTGGCACATATACACCATGGAATACTATGCAGCCATAAAAAATGATGAGTCCATGTCCTTTGTAGGGACATGGATGAAGCTGGAAACCATCATTCTTAGCAAACTATCACAAGGACAAAAAACCAAACACCGCATGCTCTCACTCATAGGTGGGAATTGAACAATGAGAACACGTGGACACAGGAAGGGGAACATCACACACCGGGGCCTGTTGTGGGGTGGGGGGAGGGGGAGGAATAGCATTAGGAGATATACCTAATGCTAAATGACGAGTTAATGGGTGCAGTACACCAACATGGCACATGTATACATATGTAACAAACCTGCACGTTGTGCACATGTACCCTAAAACTTAAAGTATAATAATAATTAAAAAAATAAATAAATAAATAAAAAGAAATACAAAGAGAAGGAAGAATAGCAAGAGATTAAAATGGAGTCAGGAGACAGTTTTCTTTCTTTTTTTTTTTTTTTTTTTTTGAGATGAAGTTAAGTTTCACTCTTGTTGCCAAGGCTGGAGTGCAATAGCACAATCTTGGCTCACTGCAACCTCCAGCTCCCGGGTTCAAGCGATTCTCCTGCCTCAGCCTCCTGAATAGCTGGGATTACAGGCATGTGCCACCACACCCGACTAATTTTGTATTTTTAGTAGAGACGAGGTTTCTCCATGTTGGTCAGGCTGGTCTCGAACTCCCAATCTCAGGTGACCCGCCCGCCTCGGCCTCCCAAAGTGCTGGGATTACAGGCATGAGCCACCATGCCAGCTGTCAGGAGACAGCTTTTAAAGATTTAAGGATGTCCCTGTGTACACATACCCTAGCACTTAAAGTATAAAAAAAAAAAAAGATTTAAGGATGTTTGTATGCTGATAGGACTGATTCAGGAGAAAGAGTAAAACTGGTGATGCAGGAGAGAGAACTTCTAGGGCAGTAACATCTGGTAGGAAAGAGGGATGGAACCTAGTACACAAAGGGAGGAGTTGGTCGTTGCTAGGAGTATGGACAGTTCATGTATTGTGGGAAGGGAAGGGAGAGTTTCTGGGCAGAGATGCAGGTAAGTATAGTAGTCAGAGATTTCTCAATGAAATAGAAAGCATGGTCATCAGCTGAAAGTGAGAGTGGGAGAGGAGTCTTTTGAGATTTTAAAAAGAGAAGAAAAAATATAAAATTGCCATTTAAGAGAGTGGAAGAATAAATGGATTATGGAAATATCACCAAGTCACATGGATTCTCTTCTCTTTTAAATTCAACAACTTCACAAGATGTAAATAACAATCAAAACATACTCTCTGACCCAGCAATTTTACTTCCAGGAACTCATACTAAGGACACAATCAGATTAACATAAAGATTTATAACTCCATCTCTACAAAAAAATACGAAAAAAACTTAGTTGGGCATGGTGGTTTGTGCCTGTGGTCCTGCCTATGAGGGAGGCTGGGCTGGGAGGATCACTTCAGCCTAGGAAGTTGAGGATAGAGTGAGCTGTGATCACACCACTGCACTACAGCCTGGGCTAGAGACCCTGTCTCCAAAAAAAAAAAAAAAAAAAAAAAGATGCTTATACTGAAAACTACAAAACACTAAGAAAAATCTTAACACTACATAGAAGGGAGATTGAAGAAACTGCAATTATGCTTAACAATATGAATGAATCCCACATATATGCTGAGCAAAAGGAAGCCAGACACAAAAGGGTTTATGCCACATAAATCCACTTATGTAAAAGTTCAAAAGACAAAACTAATCTGTGGTGTTTGAAAGTCAGGAGGGAGGTTACTCTCGATGGAGTAGTGCCTGTTAAGGGGGCGGAGGTTACTCTCGATGGAGTAGTGCCTGTTAAGGGGGCATAAGGAGATTTATATTCTGATAAGTTCTGTTTTCTCATCTAAATGCTTATATCATTTGTGAAAATTCATCAAGAAGCTGTACTTGTATAATTTCTGCATGTTACTTCAATTAAATTTCTACTTTTACAAAATGCAAAAAAAAAATAATGTTCACTTATGGTGGTATTTAAAGTAACAAAAAATAGGTTAGCTATCACTTATATGTCCAATAATAAAAGGAAAATTAAGTAACATTAATATGATAGAATACTGTTTTATTAATCTAAAAAATCAAGTTCCAAAAAATAGCTAATCACAATATAAATAATAGCAAAGGGGGTAGGCAGGTCCCTTCATCCATTCGTATGTCTACTGACACTCATTGAATGCCTATTATGTATCAGGCGCTGGACATACAAAACTGAGTAGGACAAGGTCCCTACTGGTAAAAAGAGACCAAAAAAAAAATGAAAAAAAACAAGGCAACTATATTAGTAGCAAGTCCTTTATTGAAAATAAAACAGGACAACAGGGTAGGGTAATAGAGTAGATGGGCCACTTTAGGCTGGGTAGTTAGGAAAGGTAACTTGAGGGAAATAACATTTAGGTTGAAAACTGAATGGCCAGAAGGAAACAGCCCTGCAAAAATCTGAAGGGAAAAAAAAATATGTCCAGGCAGAGGAAATGCCTAATGCAAAGTCCTCAAGACAAGGTTAAGGGAGATGTGTTCCAGGAAAAATGTGAAGTCCACTGTGTGCTGGAGTAGTGTGACTGAAGGGAAGAGTAGTAAGATATGAGGTTGGAGTTGCATGCAGGGCCATATCATTTAGAGCTTTGATGGTAAGGTTTTTGGATTTTGTTCTAGGTGCATTGGGAAGACACTGAAGGGCTCTAAGCAACACAATGACATGATAATGATCTACTGTTAAATGACCACTCTGGCTATTGAGGAAATAATTGGCCACAGGGGGCAATGGTAGATGCAGAGAGACCAGCTGAGAGCTCAGGGCAGTAGCGCAGACAAGAAATGATGTGATTTGGCTTAGGACGTTAGCAATGGAGGTGGTGAGACCTAGTCAGGTTCAGGATATATTCTGAAGGTAGACTTGCTATGAACTAGATGTGGGGTAAAAGAGTAAGTAATGATGACTCCCTGGCTTCTGGCTTAAACAAATGGGTGTAGAGTTGCTATCGACTAAAATGGAAAATACTGCAGCAGAACAGTAATGATTATGTTTTAGCATAAACAAGAGTGGAAGTCAAGCATTCTAGTTTTTGAAAATATTAGGTTTGTGATGCCTGTTAGATACCCAAGGAGAGATGACAAAATGATTGCCAGATATGAGAGTCTGTAGTACAAGGAAGAAATAAGGGCGATGAGAGTATCTATCTTCCCATTCTTACCTCTCATTCATACCTCAACTTGCTGTAACCTGGATTTTGCCTCCTTCACTCCACTGAAATTGCTCTTCCTAAGGTCATCACTGTCATTCTACTGGCTGTATTTTAACCTTCTTACTTGCTAGATTTTGTGCTGCCAATCATTCATTCTCTCCTTGAATCTCCCTTCTCCCCAGGCTTCCAATATACCGCTTTTACTCCTGGTTCTCCTTCCTACTTCTCTGGTTGTTCCTTTTTGAAACTTTTTGGTTCCCCTTTTTCCACCTTCCATCCCCAATCCCATTAAATATTGATGTTTATCATATAGGCTTTTTCAACCTGGTGTGGTCCTCACTCCTTACCCTCATCTCCCTGATCGATCCCATCCATGTGGATTTATTTCTGGGCTCTTCATTCTGTTCCCTTGATCTATGTGTCTGCTTTTAAAGGTATCACTTTTTTTCATGATCATAAAATTTATAACTCTCAAATTAGTTAAAAAAGTTGAACAACAAAAAAAGAAGACACAAAGGTTATGAACAAGTAGGTCACAAATAAAAATGTCCAACCATAAAAAGACGCTCAAACTTATTCACAAGAAATACAAACTGAAACCATGAAATACCTTATTTCACCAATCATATTGGCATAAGACTAGTTTTTTGATATCTAATGTTGGCAAGAGAGTAGAGAAACTGGCATTGTTGAATAGATGGACAACTGTTCACCTTGCTTTTCTCATTAGCAGTATTCCGTTTCAATATACATGCTTATCTCAGTCTTTTCAATGTCTATGTATTACTCTATTATATGACAGTTTCATAATATAATGAGCAAGAGGGTTCTATCTATTTTTATTTATTTTCTGTTTATGGCAAATGATGCTATAAAGATGAAACTTGGCATGTCCATAAACATATGCAAATGTGTCTTCAGGAAAAAGTCCTAGAAATAGAATTACTATATCAAAAAGTATATGAATTTACGATTTGGAGAGATATTGCCAAACTGCCTTCCAAAATTATAATAATTTTCATTCTCATCAAAGTATTATGTGCCTGTTACCCCATGTCTTGATAACAAAGCATATTAGCAACCTTTCTGATATTTATAAGCCTGAAAAATACTATTTTAATTATATTTTACTTAATTTTTATAATTTTTATTTTTAGTGGGTACATGGTAGGTGTATATATTTATGGGGTACATGAGAGGCTTTGATGAAGGCATGCAATATGAAATAAGTACATAATGAAGAAAGGGTTATCCATCCCCTCAAGCATTTATCTGCTGAGTTGCAAATAATCCAATTACACTCTTTATTTTAAAACATATGGTTATTACTAACTACAGCCACCCTATTGTGCTACCAAGTAGTAGGTTGTATTCATGATTTCTAACTATTTTTGTACCTATTAAGCATTCCCACATCTGCCCCAGCCCCACATTACCATTCCCAGCCTCTGGAAACCATCCTACTACAATGTCCATGAATTCAATTGTTTTTATTTTTAGATCTCACAAATAAGTGAGAACATGTGATTTTTGTCTTTCTGAGCCTGGCTTATTTCACTTAACACAATGATCTCCAGTTCCATCCATGTTGTTGCAAATGACTGGATCTCATTCTTTTTATGGCTGAATAGTAGTTCTCCATTGTGTATACGTAAATTTTCTTTATCCATTCATCCGATGATGAACACTTAAGGTGCTTCCAAATCTTAGCTGTTGTAAACAGTGCTGCAACAAACATAGGAGTGCACATCTCTTTTTGATATACTGATTTCCTTTCTTTTTGGTATATACTCAGCAGTGGGACTGCTAGGTAATATGGTATTTCTATTTTCAGTTTTTTGAGGAACTTCCAAACTGTTCTTCATAGCAGATGTACTAATTTATATTCCCACCTAAAGTATACAAGAGTTCCCTTTTCTCCACATCCTCGCATTTGTTCTTGCCTGTCTTTTGGACATAAGCCATTTTAACTGAACTGAGATGATTTCTCTTTGTAGTTTTGACTTACATTTCTCTGATAACCAATGATGTTTATAGCACCTTTGTTTGTCATGTGTACGTCTTCTTTTGAGAAAGGTCTATTCAAATCTTTTGGTCATATTGTGATCGGATTATTAGTTTTTTTTCTATAGAGTTGTTTGAGCTTCTTATATATTCTGGTTATTAATCCCTTGTCAGATGAGTAATTTGCAAATATTTTCTGTCTTTCTGGAGGTTGTCTCCTTACTTTGTGGATTGTTTCCTTTGCTGTGCAGAAGCTTTTTAACTTGATGTGATCCCATTTGTCCATTTCTGCTTTGGTTGCCTGGACTTGTACAGTACTGCTCAAGGAATTTTTTGCCCAGATAAATGTCCAGATTTACCCAAATGTTTTATTGTAATAGTTACACAGTTTGAGGTCTTAGATTTAAGTCCTTAATCCACTTTGATTTGATTTTTTGTATATGGAAAAAGATAAAGGTCTAGTTTCATTCTTCTGGATATGAATATTCAGTTTTCCCAGCACCATTTAACGTAGAGACTGTCTTTTCTCCAGTGTAGATTCTTCGCACCATTGTGGAAAATAAGTTTGACAAAAATGTGTGGATATGTTTCTGGGTTCTCTATTCTGATCCATTGGTCTGTGTGTCTGTTTTTATACTGGTACCATGCTGTTTTGGTTACTATACCTCTAGTATAATTTGAAGTCAGGTAATGTAATTCTTCCAGTTTTGTTCTTTTTGTTTAACATAGCTTTGGCTATTCTTGATCTTCTGTGGTTCCCCATACATATTGTTTTTTCTATTTCTGTAAAGAATGTCATTGGTATTTTGACAGGGATTGTGCTGAATCTGTATACTGTTTTGGGTAGTGTGGACATTTTAACAATATTTATTCTTCCAATCCATGAACATGGAATATTTTCCCATTTTTTTGGTCCTCTTCACTTTTTTAATCAAGGTTTTAGTTTTCATTATAGAGATCTTTCACTTCTTTGGTTAATTCCTAGGTATTTAATTTTCTGTGTGGCTATTGTAAATGGGATTACTTTTTAAATTTCTTTTTCACATTGTTCACTGTTGGCATAGAGAAATGCTACTGATTTTTGTATGTTGATTTTGTATCCTGCAACTTTACTGAGTTTCCTGATCAGTTCTAACAGTTTCCTTGTGGAATCTTTTGGATTTTTCCAAATATAAGATCCTATCACCTGCAAACAAGGATAATTTGAATTCTTCCTTTCCAACTTGTATGCCCTTTGTATCTTTCTCATCTGATTGCTCTAACTACGACTTCCAGTACTATGTCGAATAACAATGGTAAAAATAGGAATCCTTGTCGTGTTCCAGATCTTCGAGGAAAGGCTTTCGGTTTTTTCCTCATTAAGTGTACTAGCTGTGGGTCTGTCCTATATGGTGCTTACGATGTTGAGGTATGTTCCTTCTATACCCAGTTTTTTGAGGGTTTTTTTTTATCATGAACGGATGTTGAATTTTATCAAGTGTTTTTTTCAGCATCAATTTAAATGATCATATGATTTTTATCCTACATTCTGTTGATATAATGTATCACATGAGTTTATTTGTGTTTGTTGAACCATCCTGTATCCCAGGAATAAATTCCACTTGGTCATGATGCATGCCCTTTCTAATTTACTGTCGAATTTGGTTTGCTAGTATTTTGTTGAGGATTTTTGCATCAATATTCATGAGTGATGCTGGCCCGTAGTTTTTTTTGTGTATGTTTTTTGTTTGTTTTTGATGTGTCTTTGTCTGGTTTTAGTACCAGGGTAATACTGGCCACAAAGAATGAGTCTGAAAGTGTTCCCTCCACCTCTATTTTTCAAAATAATTTGAGTAGGATTGGTATTATTAGTTATTTAAATGTTCGGTATAATTCAGCAGTGAAGCCATCATGTCCCAGGCTTTTCTTTACTGGGAGAATTTTTGTTACGATTTCTATCTTGTTACTTGTTATCTGTGTGTTCAGGTTTTGGATTTCTTCCTGGTTCAATTTCGGTAGGCTGTACACATCTAGGAATTTGTCCATTTCTTCTAGATTTTTCCAATTTATTGGCATATTGTTGCTCATAGTAGCAACTAATGATCCTCTGCATTTCTGCAGTATCAGTTGTAATATCTCCTTTTTCATTTCTTATTTTATTTAGATATTCTCTATTTTTTTAGTCTGGCTAAACGTTGACAATTTTGTTTAACTTTTCATAAAACCAATTTTTCATTGATCTTTTGTCCTTTTTTTCATTTCAATTGCATTTCTTTCTGCTCTGATCTTTATTATTTTTTTTCTTCTACTGTTTTCGTTTGGTTTACTCTTGCTTTTCTGGTTCTTTAAGATGCACCGTTAAATTGCTTATGTAAAGTTGTCCCTGTTTTTTGTTGTAGGCACTTAGAGCTATACATTTCCCTCTTAGTACTGCTTTTGTTGTATCCCACCGGTATGTTTCCATTATCATTTATTTCAATAAATATTTCAATTTCCTTCTTAATCTCTTCATTGACCTACGGGTCATCTGGGAGCATTTCCATGTAGTTGTATAACTTCCAAAACTCCTCTTGCTATTAATTTCTAGTTTTATTCCATTGTGGTCAGAGAAGATGCTTTATTCTATTGTGGTCAGAGAAGATACTTCATATTATTTCAGGTTTTTTTTAAATGTTTTAAGATTTGTTCTGTGGCCTAACATTATGGTTTGTCCTTGAGAATGATCATGTTCTGAGAAAGAGAATGTGTATTCTGCAGCTCTTGAATGAAATGTCCAGTAAATATCTATTAGAACCTTTTGGTCAATAGTGAATATTTAAGTCTAATGTTTCTTTGCTGATTTTTCCCTGGGAAGATCGATCAAATTCTGAAAGTGGGATGTTAAAGTCTCTAGCTTTTATTGTATTGGGGCCAGTCTATCTCTTTAGCTCTAATAATATTTCCTTTATATATCTGGGTGCTTCAGTGTTGGGTGCATATATATTTTAAATTGTTATATCCTCTTGATTAATTGACCCCTTTTTACCATTATATAGTAACATTATTTGTCTCTTCTTATAGTTTTTGTCTTGAGATCTATTTTGTTTTATATAGCTATAGCTACTCCTGCTCTTTTCTGGTTTCCATTGGCATGGAATATCTTTTTCCATCCTTTTTTTTTCAGTCTATGTGTGTCTTTATACGTGAAGTATGTTTCTTGTAGGCAACAGATAAATAAATGGGTCTTGTTTTCATCCATACAGCCAAACTATGTCTTTTGATTGGAGGGTTTAGTGTATTTACATTCAATGTTATCATTGATAAGTAAGGACTTACTCCTGCTATTTTGTTACTTGTTTTTTGGTTCTTTTGTAATCTTCTCTTTCTTCTTTCATTCCTGTCATCCTCTAGTGAAGATGATTTTTCTCTGGTGACTATTTAGTTTTTTGCTTTTTATTTTTTGTGTATCCACTGCATGTTTTTTGGTTTGAGGTTACCATGAGGCTTGCAAATACTATCTTGTAACTCATTATTTTGACCTGATAACAACTTAACACTGTTTGCATAAACAAACAAGTGAAAAGAATACTAATAAAAACTTTGCCTTAACTTCATCCCTCACTTTTTAACTTTTTATTGTTTCTATGTATATCTTATTGTACTATGTCTTGAAAAGTTGTAGTTATTATTTTCAACTGGTTCATCTTTTAGTCTTTCAACTTAGGATAAGAGTAGTTTATATACCACAGTTACAGTGTTATATTATTTTGTGGTTTTCTATGTACTTACTATTACCAGTTATTTTTGTACCTTCAGGTGATTATTTATTGCTCATTAATATCCTTTACTTTCTGATTGAGGTACTCCCTTTAGCATTTATTGTAGGACAGGTCTGGTAGAAATTCCTCAGCTTTTGTTTGTCTGGGAAGGTCTTTATTTCTCCTTCATGTTTGAAGGATATTTTTGCCAGATACACTATTCTAGAATAAAAGTTTTTATCCTTCAGCACTTTAAATATGTCATTCCACTCTCTCTGGGTCTGTAAGGTTTCCACTGAAAGATTTGCTACCAGATGTATTGGAGCTCCATTGTATGTTATTTGTTTCTTTTCTCTTGATGCTTTTAGGATCCTTTCTTTATCCTTGACCTTCGGGAGTTTGATTATTAAATGCCTTGAGGTAGTCTGCTTTTGGTGAAACTGGCTTGGTGTTCTATAACCTTCTTGGACTTGGATATTGATACCATTCTCTAGGTTTGTGAAGTTCTCTATTAGTAACCCTTTCAATGAACTTTCTACCCCTATCTCTTTCTTGACCTTCTCTTTAAGGCCAATAACTCTGACATTTGCCCTTTTAGAGTATTTTTCTAGATCCTGTAGTCATGCTTCATTTTTTAATTCTTTTTTTTCCTTTAGTCTCCTCTGACTGTGTATTTTCAAACAGACTGTCTTCAAGCTCACTAATTCTTTCTTCTGCTAGATCCATTCTGCTATTAAAGAACTCTGATACATTTTTCAGTATGCTAATTGTATTTTTAAGCTCCAGAATTTCTGCTTCTTTTTAATTATTTCAATCTCTCTTAAATTTATCTGATAGAATTCTAAATTTATTCTCTGTGTTATCTTGAATTTCTTTGAATTTCCTCAACACAGCTATTTAGAATTCTCTGTCTGAAAAGTCACATATCTCTGTTTCTCCAGGATTGGTCCCTGGTACCTTATTTAGTTCATTTGTTGAGGTCATGTTTTCCTGGATGGTGTTGATGCTTGTAGATGTTCTTTGGTGTCTGGGCACTGAAGAATAAGGTATTTATTGTAGTTTTCACTGTATGGCCTCATCTGTAGCCATCCTTCTTGAGAAGGCTTTCTAGATATTTGAAAAGACTTGAGTGTTGTGTTCTAAGCTGTTTCTGCTTTAAGGGGCACCCCAAGCTCCATAACCCTGTGGTGCTTGCAGGCTCGTAGAGGTACCATCTTGATGGCCTTAAACAAGATCCAGGAGAATTCTCTGAATTACCAGACAGAGACTTCTGTTCTCTTCCCTTATATTCTCCCAGACATAGAGTTTCTTTCTCTCTCTCTCTGTTCTGAGTCACCTACAGCTGGGGGTAGAGTGACACAAGCAACTCTGTGTCATACTACCAGTATGACTGCATGGGGCGAGACCTGATGCCAGCACAGCCCTGGTTGTCACCCAAGGCCTGCTATAACCACTCCCTGGCTACTCTTTATGTTTGCTCAAGGCCCTGGAGCTCTACAATCAGCAGTTGGAAAAGCCAGCCAGGCCTATATCCTTCCCTTCAGTGCAGCAAGGTCCTCCAGGCCCCATGTGAGTTCAAAAGTGCTGTCCAGGAGTCAGGAACTTCAGTCAAAAACCTTAGAAGTCTACTTGGTATTCTACTGTAATGTTGCTGAGCTGGCACTCAAACTACAAGACACAGTCCTTCCCAGTCTTCCTTCCCCTTTCCAAAGACAGATGAGCCTCACCCCATAGTCAGAGCCACAGCTAGCCAGCAGGAGTACTGCCAGGCTACCACTGATGTTTGTTTAAGGCTTGAGGTCTCCTAAGTCAGCTTGTGATGAATACTGCCTGGCCTGGGACTCACCCTTCAGGGTAGTGACCTCCTCTATGGCCCAGGGCAGGTTCAGAAATGCTGTCCAAGAGTCAAGTCCTGACACAGGGGACCCCAAGAGCCCACTTGGTGCTCTAACCCCCATGGCAGTGTTGGTACCTGAAGCCAGCAAGTCTCAGAGGCTCAACAAGCCCTCAATGTAGTACCTGGGTATCGCTGCTGGTTATTCAAGGCTCAAGGACTCTTCAGTTGGCAGGTGATGAATGCTGGCAGGACTGGGTCCTTCCCTTCCAGACAGTGAGTTCCCTCCTGATCTAGAGTGTGTCTAGAAATGCTGTCTGGGAGCTAGGGCCTGGAACAGGGGTTTCATGACTCTGACCAGTGCCCTATCCTGTGGTGGCTTAGCTGGCATCCAAGATGCAAGACAAAGTCTGCCCTACTCTTCCACTTCTTCTCCTCAAGCAAAACGGGTTTCTTTTGGAGCCACCAGCTGTGCAGCCTGCAATTAAGGGAAGGGTGATGCCAACACTCCCTTGACTGCCCCAGGCAGTGTTTCAGTGTGTCGTGTGTCCACACAGTCTACTGTTTCTGGGCCTACTTCCGCCATAGGACACACCTAAGAGTTGCAGTTCTTTGTTTTGTTTTGTTTGTTTGTTTTTTGAGACAGAGTCTCACTCTGTCACCCAGGCTGGAGTGCAGTAGTGCGATCTCGGCTCACTGCAACCTCCGCCCTCCGAGTTCAAGTGATTCTCCTGCCTCAGCCTCCAGAGTAGCTGGGATTACAGGCACCTGCCACCACACCTGGCTAATTTTTTGTATTTTTAGTAGAGACAGGGTTTCACCTTCTTGGCCAGGCTGGTCTTTAACTCCTGACCTCGTGATCCACCCACCTCAGCCTCCCAAAATGCTCGGATTACAGGCGTGAGCCACCGCGCCTGGCCGAATTACAGTTCTTATGGCCAAGATTGCCTTTCAAGTTTACCTAGAAACCAGGGGCACTTTGACCCTAAGTGGTGAGATTTGCAGGCACTCAAGTTCAGACCCCTGGGATTGGTCATTTCCCTCTGGCTAGGGATGGTTTAAATGTTCCCTGTGTGGGTGGGCATCAGCTAAGTTTGGTCTGGAATTCCTTTCTGCTTTAACAGAACAGCACTGAGTTCAATGCCTTATAACTACTGTCCTCTCCCTCGCCCAGTGCCCAGAGATGCTCTCTGCAAGCAGGCTGCAGCTGCCAGGGGTGGGGAAGGGGTGGTGTCATAGATTCAGAACTGCTTTTTCTATCTCTTCGGTGCCTCTTTCAGCAATATGAAGTTAAAAACAGGTATTGTGAGTGTTCACCTCATTTTCGGTTCTATGAAGGTAATTTTTTCTGCGTAATGTTAGTTGTTAACTGGTGTCCTTGTTGGGGTTGGGGGGTAAGGACAATTGGTGGAGCTTTCTATTCCACTATCTTGCTTCACCTCTGTATCTTAATTTATATTTTAAAAATAATGCATTTAAAGACTGAGTAAGGGTAAGCTCTTTTGTGTTTAAAAGACATTTTATATGCTTTGCCTAATTTTTAATAAATTGTTAGCCATTTTCTTATTAATTGGTTTAAGAGCTCTTTACATATTAAACAGATAAGCTTTAATAGCTCTACAAATATTCATTCCCAGGTATTTTTCTTTTAATTACATTTTTAGATACATGGAATTTTTTTTCAACAGAGTCAAATTTATCAGTCTTTCTTTTTTGGCTTCTGGGTTTTGTGTTTTGCAGCCCTTCCTCCAAGACTGTAAAAAAACTCACCCCTCATTTTCTCTTCTAGTATGTATATGGTTTTATTTTTATGAACTTCTATATTCGATCCACATCAAACATATGTTGTTATATGGATTTACACATTTTGAAATCAAACCCTTTGTGAGTACATTTCAATGAAAAGTGACTTTAATATGTTTTAATAAAAAATGATTGTTGTAGGCCATGTGTTGGGAAGTTTGGAAAAATTAACAGTTAAAGGAGGATGAGGACTGAAAAACTAGAGGAAAAAGCAAAGTAAACTGCAAAGAAATGTTGCAAGAGTAGAATTGCAATGCACTAGACACATGCTAAGGAACCACTACTCCTTGTCAGTCAACCACAAAATAGAAAATTAATTAGGATTGCATATGGTGGAGTAAATTGCATGTTTTAATACTGCTGTGCTTGTCTGAGATTTGATACATTTCTTAATAATTTCTAAACTCCTCAGTATACAAAAATATTAGACCAGAAACCTTTTTGGGGTTTCTTTCTTTGCAATATTTGGCCCATGTTTTTAGAAAGGGATAATCCTAATACATCAACTTTAAGTTTACTTTTTCTGCAGACTCAGCCTAAAGACTTCCATATCCTTTTCTAGAAGTTTTCCTCTCATAAAGTGTTCTCAACTAAGAGTATAGACAAAATACCCTAAGTGACTCAATCGACTCATTTTAAGGATTAGATATACACTATTATATATCCGAATATCTAAAGTAATAACTAAACTAAAATAGATCTATAAATACACACAGAAAAGAATTAGCATAGCATACCTTATACTACTATCCTCAGGTAGGCCTACTTGACGTTTGACACTTGGCTGGCATCTAGGAACTTGGATTTATGGAAGATTCCCAGAATTGGTAAGAGTGGCTCACTGTACCTAAACTGTTTGTACAAACAATGGTGATTTATGCCAAACACCTGATTTCCTTCTGGGGATCTGGAATTTTGGTATGTGCCAGGCAGAATGTGCCCATGACTGACTACTGATTAAAAACTGGGAACTCTTAAGCCCAGGGGAACTTCCCTGGTAGACATTTCACATGTATCATGATAAGTAGCTGGAGGAAATAAGCTTGTTCCATGTGACTTCACTGGGAAAGGAATCTTGCCAGCTTGGACCTGGATCCTCCAGACTTCACCCTATACACACTTTCCCTTTGTTGATCCTGCTTTATATCCTTTTACTCTAATAAATCATAGACATAAGTACAACTATACACTGAGTTCTGTGAATCCTCCTAGCAAATACACAAATCACAGTAAACATTAATGCAATGTTTAGATATAAACTTTAGAACCTGTAAAAATTTAAACATTAGTAAAAAATGTTTGATATTATTCTTAGATATAGGCTTTATACTTCATAGTAAGTGGTTTTAGCTATAAATCAAAGGATAGTCTTTAGATGTATGTAACATAGCATAGTTGCAACTTAGCCTTGTGGGCCATAATTGCACATACAAATAGTATATGCAATTAAACATAGTAATAAAAAAATCCATTATTAACTATGTAGGATAATAAGGAATTTATTTAAATGGATTCTTGGCTTAGAATGCTAAAGATATTAATCTTTCTTCACATGAAATAAACTATGTATAATTAATCATTGTTCCATGATTAATTATGCTCATTTCATGAGTTAAAAAAGTAAATATATTAAAAGTGACTTACCTTTTAATCTTGGCCTTTTCAGCCTTTTCTTCTTTATCACATTTCTTGGCATTCCTATTAAGTTCTTTTGCAGCAAACTTCAAGTAAAATAATGGCTCTGAAAAGAGCCATTAAGGATAAGGCTATTCAAAAAGTTATTTCCCCAACATAACTACCTGCAAACAAGATATTAAAATTATAAAACATATGAGATAAGATTAATATTAACCAACTAGTCACAATGCTTTTGAGGAACTGGAACAATTTCTTTATTCTACACTTGTTTTCTGTTAAAAAATATCAAATTAATAGAAATCATTGATTATAAGGGGAGAAATTACTGTGGAGAAACCGGACAGATACCACTTAACCAAGGTTAACATCACCAGTGATAAAACATTTCAGTATAATTTATCTTCTGAAATGATAAACTGAGAGGGGTATAGCATCGTTTCTATGGCATGGTTGCCGAAAACATAACCTTAATCTACTCAAGAGAAAACATGGGACAATCCTGAACTGAGAGACATTTGATATAACAGACTAGCGTACTTTTCAAGTGTCAAATTCATGAAAAGCAAGGAAAGACTGAATAAGCAGTCACAGACTGGAGGAGACTAAGGAGATATGGCGACTAAATGCAACGTAGGATCCTGGAACAGAAAGAGGATGTTAATGGAAATACTGGTAAATCCAAATAAGATCTGTGGTTTATTTATTTATCTTGTAGTGATGTTGATTTCCTTATGTTGATAATTATACTATGGTTCTGTAAGACATTAACATTAGCAAAAGCTTGGTAGAAGGTATACAAGGACTTGCTGTACTATTTTTACAACTTTTCTTTAAATCTAAAATTATTTTAAAACTTTTTAATTAAAAAAGAAAAAAATCATTAAAAAACTAGGAATAAAAGCACTCCCATAAATAAAACCACATTGAATATCATAAATCTTTCATTTTCATGTCACAAACAAAAATAAATATGAAGTATATGCACATATATATGACAAAGTGCTGCGAATTATTTAGAAACCAACCAGATTATGTAATGACTAGATCACTAAGGTATAGTTTTAAAGGGCTGGCTTTTGGATTGATTGTATCATTATTAGAAAACAAGAATGGCTTGCTTAATCTACCAAAACTAAATAATAAATTAAGCTATCTTCTTTATCTCTCAGTTGCTTCATGGCTCTAATTCAATGCCTAAAGACTCTATGTATTTTATGACCTCTGAAAAAAGGTAAATGACCTCTGAAAAAAGGTAAAATATACTTTTTAAAACCTTGTTTCTGTGTTTCTTTAGGACATTTACAAAAACGATGGAAGGTTCCTTTTTATCTATTTATTTTGAAAAGTGCACACACATGATATGATTTAAAGGGCTGACTTTTGGATTGATAATATCGCTATTAGAAAACAAGAATGGTTTCTTTAATTTACCAAAACTAAAGCTATCTTGTTCATTTCTCACTGGTTTCATGGCTTTAATTCTATGCCTTATTTATGGATAATGACAGGAATAAATGTGCTGCCCTGAGTAGTTTCCAGGCTATAAATTCTAGATATACCTAGAATTGTAAATAAGTGCATATGTATACATTTATGTGTAATTTTAATATAAAATATACCTGAAATTTGTAAGATTTAACAATTTCAGCTTGGTGACTAAGTTATATGCCCTTATATATACACACACAAATATGTATATGTACACACACACAAACACACACACACGGTTTGCCAAGGTTTCTCAATTTGGGGCCAGATAATTCTTTGTGAGGCTGTCCTATAAATTCTAGGAAATTTAGCAGCATCCCTGGCCTTTATCCAGTAGATGTCAGAAGCACCCACTCCTCTCAGTTGTAACAACCAATAACATCTCCAGACATTGCCAAAAGTCACTTGGGGTGGGGGAGGGAAAATGCACCTCTGATGAAAATCAAAATCACTAATATAGATGAAAAATATATTATTTTTCCTTTCTTTGTCTTCATTTTCTAAATTATTTCCCCAATATAATTGCTGTCTCTGTAGAAAAAGTCACTAAAGTTAAAAGCTGAATTATGATACTGACAGAGCAGGAGCACCGTCATCTCGGACAAACACTGCCACTTTAAGTTCCAGCTCCCTTTCTAGACTCATGCATTTCAAGGAAATCACTTCTAACTACAAGCAGCCAGAAAGAGTAGACAGTAAAACACAGATAAGAGAGCTCGGGAACAGTGGGAGGTGGAGGGAAAATCTCTTGGTAACTGCGAAACTTCACCCTCATACAATGGGCCCCAGTAAAACAGTGGGCCTTAGTAAGCACATTTCTTTCCCCTCAGGTACACTAAGATAGGGAAGCTAAAAGCAGACTCAGTGGGGTATGCCTGCAGTTGCAGAAAGACGTGTAGGAACAGACACAAAACTCTCTCTCCCAGATAAGCACAACAAAGAGACAAGAAGGAGTCCAAGCCTCTGACAAACTCTCCCACCCTAAATCCTTAAAAAACTCTTAATCTGTAAGAGTTTAAGTTTAACCTAAATCAGCCAGAAGCCCCTCTCAGGTTTGTTTTCTCTAAAATAAACCTGTCCTTGACTGTCAAGCCACCTTTCATGTTTCTTTCCTCTTTCTTTAAAATTCTTACATTTGGTGCTGAAACCCGGGATGGGTGTTGGGGGCAGAGGCTCTCTTGCAACCCAGGAAGCAGTGGGTAATGGCAGCTCATCCTGAATTAACTCCTGGATCCTGAGGGTCTCTGGCCGCCCACCCCACCTCTACTCTTACTTCACTTTTCAAGCGATTTGTGTGAGGAGGACAACTAATCTGAAGGGAACTGCAAGGCTCAGGCCAGGGCTACTCCCCAGTGGGCTCTCAAAACCCTCAGGTCTCAGGAATCCACCTCTGACCTCACACAATGGGTATTTCACTCCCTAACCCTTGCTCCCTCTTTTTCCCTCTTCTTTCTCTCTCTCTCTCTTCCTCGTGTGGCTCCAGTCTGGGAGGCCCTTTGCCGATTCCAACCAGAACATCCAACAGCAGACACTAATTCAGCTGACTGGTAAGATCTGCCTTCTCCTAGCTTCCTCTTGGTACTGGAGAAAGTCCGGCCTGCCATCCAGGTCCTTGGAGGACTAACGGGACTAAGCTAGAGGAAATCTTGGGGATGCCCACTTCCTTCTCAACTTAACCATCCTCTTTCGGAAACAGAATTCCGAGTCTCTGTCTTTTGTCTGGGGATACCTAGAACAAAACAGACACCCTTGGTTTCCTCTTACCAGTCCACATAGGTGCCAAACAATCCACATTCCTACGCCCTCCCCACGGGGCTGTTGTCTTTGCAACCTCACCAAACTTGGCTTACAGGGGACCCTAAATCCAAAACATTTAATTTTATACTGCAACATGACTTGGCCCCAATAGAGACTAGATAATAACAGCTGATGGCTCAAAAACGGCACCTTTAACTTTCAAATTCTCAGGCACCTTAACAACTTTATCATCAGAAACAGCAAATGACAAAAGGTTCCCCATATTTAGGCTTTCTTCTACCTTAAACCCCGCCCCTCCTCTTCTCCACCCCTTCAAAAACTACTCCAACCAGTCAAACCTCCTCTGCCATTCTCCCCCTACGGTAAGTGTCTATGGTTAAAGGTATTGCTCGGGTTCACGTCCCCTTCTCCATGTCTGATTTGTGGCAGATTGAACAGCTTCTGGGATCTTTCTCTAAAAATCCCTCTCATTATTGCAGGGAATTCCTGCATGTAACCCAATCCTTTAATATAAGTTGGCATAACATTCTTATAATTCCAACATCTACCCTCACCCTTAATAAAAAAGAGTGCTCAGCTTAATTAAAATGGATATCCAAGCTATAAGTGTATTTAAAAGGCCTTTATGTTTTTCTCTTCGTAAATCTTGTTTTCCTGAAAAAGGTTTTTTTTTTTCCAGTTGAAATTACTTTTCTCCACTCTGTCTTTCCAGTCTTGGTGCATGCATAAAAGACCCTAGAATAACTTCTGGTGGTCTGGGACTCCTTGGGAAGACAGAAAAGGCATCACAAATTCCATTTTGGGAAAAATCTGTTTTCCTTATGGAACCCCTGGAATTAGAGGTGAATAAGTACCTCTCAAAATCTGTCTTTGTCTTCCAGCTATGCTTGTCTATTAGGCCCTGAAAATTGTTTTCCTAGCCCTGTTCTTAAAGGGCCACACCCGGAGGCCAATAATCCAATTAGGAAATTAGCAAATGTAAGCCTTCTAACTACTTGATCTTCTTCTGGTTGTCTGTGTGGCTATATATGTGTTATGTGTGCAATGTCTATTAAAAAGAGCCCTAATTAATTGATTGGGCTAAGAAAAATAAGTGGCTAAATCAAATATTTTTAACAAAAAGTAAAAGCTGTGGTACCTTTCAGTTCATGTAATTTTAATACTTAAAAATAAAAACAGTCTTAGGAATTATTGGTAAAATACCAATGTTCTTAAGGTGTAAAAATGTGGTCTACATTATGCAGGTCAAATACTAGGTTTGCTAAATGTTTTAAGGTTGTAAACTGCTTCTTTAGCCTTTAAAAACTGTCAACTTGCCTGCTTCACAATTGGTAAGGCCAGAAACCTATGGAAGATGGAAGTAACTATGCCCCTAACTATGCTGGAAGAAGTCAAACTTCATCTGCATCTAGCACATAATTTAAAAAAAAAAAAACAGGTTTTACATTAAAGTTGAAAATTGCTAAAAGTTACCATTATAAGATGTAATTAAAACTACTGAACATGGATTTGCATGCAAGGTATATAAAAACAGTAAAAAGTGTTTTTAGTTAAAAATTATAGGAAGGCATAAAAATGTACATTTTGCTTAAGAATAAAAACTTGTCTTAAAATTAAATAAAATGGATGGTTTAGCAGATTGTAAAAACATTGTAAAAATTAATCCTGCAAAGAAATCTCTGTGTGTAAACATATTAACTAAACTCAAAGGGGTATTATATGGTTTTTTCTGTAAATTAAACACTAAAAGCACCACAAGGTTTTCTTAAAATGCTAATCTACTCTTTAGCAAAACTTGTCAAGGGTTATAACGGGTATGTAAAAATCTCACTTCATGGACAAACTAGGTAAAATTAAATAAAATTGTCTAGAAGGTTTCATTAAAATTAGGGTTAACATTAATAGCAAACTAATGCAAGGGTAAAATTTAACTTTCTCTCTTAAACAGAATTTTCATGTAATACAAAAGGCTAATAAATGGTTTTTGCTTTTCCAAATTTTTAACTCATCATTTTGGCAAAGCAAAACCAAACAAACAAACAGAAAACTTATGGTAATCTAAAATTATATTTTAATATCAAGCATTTTAAATTTTAAACATATTTAACAGGCTTCTCAAAATCAAATTTTAGTCTCAAAATTGTCTTTCCTAACCCCTGCAGCATCTGGAAAAAAAGGTAAACAGGATTATTTAACATGTTTAGGTACATAAAATTGCCAAAATAATGTCTAATAGGTTATATTTTAGGGAATAATATTAACATATGTTCCAAAACTGTATGGAATGTCTAAGTTTCTAGTGTCTAAATATGTGCTATTAATCACAATCAAGGTTGTTATGTTGGGTTATTGTAAACCACAAAAATGACCAAATTTCTTTGTCAGTTGTGTTTCTAACTGTATCCAACCTGGACATTTTGTTATCTACAGACAATTCTTATTTTGTTTTAATTGTCTTCTAAGATGGTTTTTAACGAAGTGGTGGAAGAAGTGCTCTCAAATGTGGGCTTCTCACAACAAAAAAAATACAGAACTCATGAAAAGCTAAAATGTTTACAAATCTCAAGCAAAACAAAAGTTAATAAAATGGACTAAACTAGTAAAAAACAAAAACAAGTTTTTACCTTTTGCTTAGAACACTGCTAATTTTTAGTTTATTTTTCAGAGTCAAGAAAACTTGTCTTAAGCTAGCTACAGCCTTTTACAACTAACTAAAGTATACTCCTTTAAACAGAATTTAAAGTGTGTTTGTTTCTCTCTGCTAGTTCCTCTAGAATTTGAAAACTAGTTACAAGTATTCTTAAACTACAACAGTATTGTTGTTTGCATCAGTGCAATAAAAATCTATTTTCTTTTGTGGCTGGGCGCAGTGGCTCACACCTGTAATCCCAGCACTTTGGGAGGCCAAGGCCGGCGGATCACGAGGTCAGGAGATCGAGACCATCCTAGCCAACATAGTGAAACCCTGTCTCTACCAAAATACAAAAAATTAGCCGAGCGTGGTGGTGCACGCCTGTAGTCCCAGCTGCTCAGGAGGCTGAGGCAGGGGAGTCACTTGAGCTCGGGACGCCAAGGTTGCCCTGAGCCAAGATCTCACCACTGCACTCCAGCCTGGCAACAGAGCAAGACTCTGTCTAAAAAAAAAAAAGGCGGGGGTGGGAATCTATTTTCTTTTGTAACAGAACAAAGTTGGAAAAACTGGTTATTTTACCAAGGCTTTGACTGGAATGATGTGCTCTCCTTTAAGGAATTAAACTTGACTGAAGGAGCCAATAAAACCCTTGGAAAACTGGCCTCATGCTTTGTGTACACAGTCCCTGTACAAAGTTTCTGACCTGTGGTAAGTAAAGACTATCAATTTCTGACAGGCCAGGAACCCCAAGTTATCTTAAAACCTCAAGAAGAGAGGAATTCAACCAACTCATAGGTATTTAATGGTAAAAATCCATCGCTGGGCTTGACTTTTAAAAGTCTTATCTCAAATACCTTCTATGTAACAAAGTTCCATCAAAGACTATTTAAAAGGCCTATGTAGCAAGTAATTATTCTTGCTGCACTGTATACAAATAATTAAGCCAAGTATAATAAAGATTTGTATTTTAATAAAAATGTGAAACTGAAGACAAAATTGTGTTTCAAAAACTATAGCACACCTGTTGTTAAATTCTAGTATTGCCTAATGTTTTTGTTTTTATTATTTTCTACAGTTTAAATTATATCCGTTACAGAACAACTCCTGGATACATCACACTCAAGTCAAAGCCTAAAGAGCTGAGAAAGCAACCCCTAACAGCCCAGAAAAATACCCTAAATATCAATGTAAAAAAAATAAGAAATCTTATACTGAAAATCATAAAAGATAACTAAGTAAAAATTACTCATCTTACTCAATCTCAACCCTGCCTCACCAAATACTTTTGTCGCTTCTACCTCTCCTTTTAATCCAAATATTAAAACCTTTTTAATGGAAATTTAGTAAGCCACCCTTGTGGGAACTGCTTTACTCACTCTACTATTTGTAGTAGAACTACATACTGTAGCACTATCAGAGTAGAATACCGGACACAGAATCTCAATTACCATAGCATTTTGGTTAATTCTTATCCTCATAGAAGGAGTAACAGTTACTAACAAAAAATAACACATGGGTCTTTCCAAACACATGCCTCTGCCTCTCATTGGGGAAGAAATGTTGCTTCTAACTCAACCAATCGTGCCTAATAAGAAACACTGCTGAAAAGCCTACAACTAATGTTTTAACCCTGCCTAATTAACCTTTTTCGTTTTTTTTTTTTTAACTGACAGAATCATGGCCATTTCGCAGACAACTGCCTCAAAACATCTACACACAGTGTTGCTCCTGCAGGCAATCTGAGACCAAGAAACTCTCCACACCCCCATCAGCAGGAAGTAACCAGAAAGAACACATCGCCCCTCATCCTTTTATAACTATAGGGCCTAGAATGACAGAGCAGGAGCACCATCATCTCAGACAAACACTGCCACTTTCAGTTCCAGCTCCCATTCTAGCCTCATGCATTTCAAGGAAATCACTTCTCTTCTAACTACAAGCAGCCAGAAAGAGCAGACAGTAAAACACAGATAAGACAGCTAAGGCACAGAGGGAGGTGGGGGGAAAGTCTCTTTGTTAACTGCCAATCTTCACCCCCTTTCGAAAGAAACTTTCATGTTTCCTCTTTCTTTAATTCTTACAATACCAATTATTTTTGATGAGTTAATATAGTTAACATATTCTTTTATGTTTTTTAAAGAATGGTTTCAGCTATGATTAAACCTGAAATTTACTGTAAACTTCAAATACTGAGGACTGACTACTGAATACGTCTTATAACTTAGTCTTATTTAATAATTAGGATTACAGTATAAAATACTGGCCAAAAAATAGATCTTTCACAACCGTGCATTCTGTTCCATAATGCTTTTTCCCCCAAAAGACTTGAGCTACTTCTAGAAATATGGAAGCCTAAAGAGTTAGAAAAACACTCTGAAATACTGAATAAACTATAATAGAAGTCCAAAAGAAGGAAAATCCGCTGGGAAAGAACAAAACAGGAAGAAGGAACTATTAGTAAGCAAGCACTGAAGCTCCTGAAACTCCCACAGTGTTGGAACTGAACTTTTTGAATAATGACAGAACCCTTGAAGGTTACAACATTAGCACAAGGGTAGGTAGAAAAATATCTTATCAGCCAGCAAGGGATTATAAGATGATATGATTAACTTTCTACGGGCCTTAGGTGGAAGCTGAGGGTGAAACAAAGGCTCTCCTACAAATTTATAGCCACAGCAATGTCATCATGTGGAGTTGGGTTTCAAATGTGTCCTCCTGGAAGGATCTGGGAAACCCCATCCTGAAATATTAAAATACTTCCAAGTTGGAGAAACATCTTCAACCCAGGAATTTTAGGATTCCCTTAGGTTTCAATGACTAGATGTATAAAACTAAAAATTAAATAAAGTTGAGGAGAAAAATAGCAGACTGTAATACAGATTGCATACAAACAGATTGTAATACAAACTGTAATACAAAATATGTAAAGGTTATATTCAAGGAGATGATGCATGAGACTCTTCGCATAACTGATGAAAGTAACCTTTAATATTTTAATTCAGGAAGCATAAAAAATGCCAAGCAGAAAATAAATCTACACTAGATATATTACAGTAAGCCTCTGACTACCGAAGACAATAACAACTTTAAAAGAGCCATAGTGAAAGTTCAGATAATTTACAAAAGATCTAAAATTAGACTCCAAAGAATTTTCAAACAAAACACTAATTTCCAAAGGAAGTACAATTGATTCATGTTGTCCAAGGTAGTCATGGTCTAATTAAGTTGCTGAGAATACCAAATTAGCAAATACTGAACCATTACTTCTAGGGGAAATACAGGAATAGGTGGTTACATTTTCATCAACTGATCAATATATAACCTTATCCCAAGACGGCCAAATAGTAACAGCTCCAGTCTGCAGCTCCCAGAGTGATTGATGCAGAAGACAGGTGATTTCTGCATTTCCAACTGAGGTACCTGGTTCATCTCACTGGGACTGGTTGGAGAGTGGGTGCAGCCCACTGAGGGCGAGCCAAAGCAGGGTGGGGCATCGCCTCACCCAGGAAGTACAAGGGGTTGGGGGATTTCCCTTTCCTAGCCAAGGGAAGCCGTGACAGACTGTACCGGGAAAATTGGGACACTCCCACCTTAATACTGCACTTTTCCAATGGTCTTAGCAAACGGCACACCAGGAGATTATATGCCATGCCTGGCTCAGCGAATCCCATACCCACAGAGCCTGCTCACTGCTAATGCAGCAGTCTGAGATCGAACTGTGAGGCAGCAGCTTGGCTGGAGGACGGGCGTCCGCCATTACTGAGGCTTGAGTAGGGACACAAAGTGGCCGGGAAGCTCAAACTGGGTGGAGCCCACCATAGCTCAACAAGGCCTGCCTGCCTCTGTAGACTCCACCTCTGAGGGCAGGGCATAGCTGAACAAAAGGCAGTAGAAACTTCTGCAGACTTAAGCGTCCCTGTCTGACAGCTCTGAAGAGAGCAGTGGCTCTCCCAGTATGGTGTATGAGCTCTGAGAACAGACAGACTGGCTCCTCAAGTGGGTCCCTGACCCCCGTGTAGCCTAACTGGGAGACACCTCCCAGACACATCCTGGTAGGGGCCGACTGACACCTTATACAGCTGGGTGTCCCTCTGAGACGAAACTTCCAGAGGAAGGATCAGGTAGCAATATTTGCTGTTCTACAATATTTGCTGTTCTGCAGCCTCCGCTAGTGATACCAGGCAAACAGTGTCTGGAGTGGACCTCCAGAAAACTCCAACTGACCTGCATCTGAGGGTCCTGACTGTTAGAAGGAAAACTAACAAACAGAAAGGAATAGCATCAATGTCAACAAAAAGGGCATCCACACCAAAACCCCATCTGTAGGTCACTATCATCAAAGACCAAAGGTAGATAAAACCACGAACATGGGGAGAAACCAGAGCAGAAAAGCTGAAAATTCTAAAAACCAGAGCGCCTCTTCTCCTCCAAAGGATCGCAGCTCCTTGCCAGTGACGAAACAAAGCTGGACGGAGAATGACTTTGATGAGTTGACAGAAGTAGGCTTCAGGAGGTCGGTAATATCAAACTTCTCCAGGCTAAAGGAGGATGTTCAAACCCATCACAAGGAAGCTAAAAACCTTGAAAAAATTAGACAAATGGCTAACTAGAATAAACAGTGTAGAGAAGACCTTAAATGACCTGATGGAGCTGAAAACCATGGCACAAAAACTACATGACGCATGCACAAGCTTCAATAGCCAATTCAATCAAGGAAGAAAGGATATCAGTGATTGAAGATAAAATTAATGAGATAAAGCAAGAAGACAAGGTTAGAGAAAAAAGAGTAATTTTTACTCTTTTGAACAAAGCCTCCAAGAAATATTGGACTATGTGAAAAGACCAAATCTACGTTTGATTGGTGTACCTGAAAGTAATGGGGAGAATGGAACCAAGCTGGAAAACACCCATCAGGATATTATCCCCGAGAACTTCCCCAATCTAGCAAGGCAGGCCAACATTCAAATTCAGGAAATACAAAGAACACCACAAAGATACTCCTCGAGAAGAGTAACTCCAAGACACATAATTGCAAGATTCAGCAAGGTTGAAATGAAGGAAAAAATGCTAAGGGCAGCCAGAGAGAAAGGTCAGGATACCCACAAAGGGAAGCCCATCAGACTAACAGCAGATCTCTCAGCAGAAAGTCTACAAGTCAGAAGAGAGTGGAGGTCAACATTCAACATTCTTAAAGAAAAGAATTTTCAACCCAGAATTTTGTATCCTGCCAAACTAAGCTTCATAAGTGAAGGAGAAATAAAATCCTTTACAGACAAGTAAATGCTGAGAGATTTTGTCACCACCAGGCCAGTCTTACAAGAGCTCCTAATGCTATCCCTCCCCCCTCCCCCCACCCCACAACAGAGAGTTAATGGGTGCAGCACACCAACATGGCACATGTATACATATGTAACAAACCTGCACGTTGTGCACATGTACCCTAGAACTTAAAGTATATAAAAAAAGAGCTCCTGAAGAAAACACTAAACATGGAAAAGAACAACCAGTACCAGCCACTGCAAAAACATGCCAAATTGTAAAGTCCATCAATGCTAGGAAGAAACTGCATCAACTAACAGGCAAAATAACCAGCTAACAATCATAACGACAGGATCAAATTCACACATAACAATATGAACCTTAAATGTAAATGGGCTAAATGCCCCAATTAAAAGACACAGACTGGCAAACTGGATAAAGAGTCAAGACCCATCAGTGTGCTGTATTCAAGAGACCCATCTCATGTGCAGAGACATATATAGGCTCAAAATAATGGGATAGAGGAAGATATACCAAGCAAATTGAAAGCAAAAAAAAAGCAGGGGTTGCAATCCTAGTCCCTGATAAAACAGACTTTAAACTAACAAAGATCAAAAGAGACAAGGCCATTACATAATGGTAAAGGGATCAATTCAACAAGAAGAGCTAAGTATCCTAAATATATATGCACCCAATACAGTAGCACTCAGATTCCTAGAGCAAGTCCTTAGAGACCTACAAAGGGACTTAGACTTCCACACAACAATAATGGGAGAGTTTAACACCCCACTGTCAATATTAGACAGATCAACAAGACAGAAGGTTAACAAGGATATCCAGGACTTGAACTCAGCTCTGAACCAAGTGGACCTAATAGACATCTACAGAACTCTCCACCAAAAATCAACAGAATATACATTCTTCTCAGCACCATATCGCATTTATTCCAAAATTGACCATACAGTTGGAAGAAAAGCACTCCTCAGCAAATGTAAAAGAACAGAAATCACAACAAACTGTCTCTCACACCACAGTGCAACCAAATTAGAACTCAGGATAAAGAAACTCATTCAAAAACACACAACTACATGGAAACTAACAACCGGCTCCTGAATGACTACTGAGTAAATAACGAAATGAAGGCAGAAATAAAGATGTTCTTTGAAACCAATGAGAACAAAGACACAATGTGCCAGAATCTCTGGGACACATTTTAAGCAGTGGGTAGAGGGAGATTTATAGCACTAAATGCCCAAAAGAGAAAGCAGGAAAGATCTAAAATCAACACCCTAACATCACAATTAAAAGAACTAGAGACGCAAGAGCAAACAAATTCAAAAGCTAGCAGAAGACAAGAAATAACTAAAATCAGAGCAGAACTGAAGGATATAGAGAAACAAAAAGCCCTCCAAAAAATCAATGAAGCCAGGAGCTGGTGTGTTGAAAAGATCAACAAAATTGATAGACCGCTAGCAAGACTAATAAAGAAAAAAGAGAGAAGAATCAAATAGATGCAATAAAAAATGATAAAGGGGATATCACCACTGATCCCACAGAAATAGAAACTACCATCAGAGAATACTATAAACACCTCCATGCAGATAAACTAGAAAATCTAGAAGAAATCGATAAATTCCTGGACACATACACCCTACCAAGACTAAACTAGGAAGACATTGAATCCCTGAAAACACCAATAAAAGGCTCTGAAATTGAGGCAATAACTAATAGCCTACCAACCAAAAAAAGTCCAGGACCAGACGGATTCACAGCCGCATTCTACCAGAGGTACAAAGAGGAGCTGGTACCATTCCTTCTGAAACTATTCCAATCAAGAAAAAGAGGGAATCCTCCCTAACTCATTTTATGAGGCCAGCATCATCCTGATACCAAAGCCTGGCAGAGACACAACAAAAAAAGAGAATTTTAGACCAATATCCCTGATGAACCTTGATGCAAAAATCCTCAATAAAATACTGGTAAACCGAATCCAGCAGCACATCAAAAAGCTTATCCACCAAGATTAAGTTGGCTTCATCCCTGGGATGCAAGGCTGGTTCAACATAGGCAAATAAATAAACATAACCCATCAAATAAACAGAACCAAAGACAAAAACCACATGATTATCTCAATAGATGCAGAAAAGGCCTTCGACAAAATTCAAAAGCGCTTCATGCTAAAAACTCTCAATAAACTAGGTATAGATGGAACGTATCTCAAAATAATAACAGCTATTTATGACAAACCCACAGCCAATATCATACTGAATGGGCAAAAACTGGAAGCATTCCCTTTGAAAAATGCCACAAGACAAGGATGCCCTCTCTCACCACTCCTATTCAACATAATGTTGGAAGTTATGGCCCGGGCAATCAGGCAAGAGAAAGAAATAAGGGGTATTAAATTAGGAAAAGAGGAAGTCAAATTGTCCCTGTTTGCAGATGACATGATTGTATATTTTGAAAACCCCATCATCTCAGCCCAAAATCTCCTTAAGCTGATAAGCAACTTCAGCATAGTCTCAGGATACAAAATAAATGTACAAAAATCACAAGCATTCCTATACACCAATAACAGACAAACAGAGAGCCAAATCATAAGTGAACTCCCATTCACAATTGCTACAAAGAGAATAAAATACCTGGGAATCCAGCTTACAAGGGATGTGAAGGACCTCTTCAAGGAGAACTACAAACCCCTGCTCCACTAAATAAAAGAGGGCACAAACAAATGGAAGAATATTCCATGCTCATGGATAGGAAGAATCAATATCGTGAAAATGGCCACACTACCCAAAGTAATTTATAGATTCAAGGGTATCCCCATCAAGCTACCAATGACTTTCTTCACAGAATTGGAAAAAACTACTTTAAAGTTCATATGGAACCAAAAAAGAGCCCGCATTGCCAAGTCAATCCCAAGCAAAAAGAACAAAGTTGGAGGCATCACGCTACCTGACTTCAAACTATACTGCAAGGCTACAGTAACCAAAACAGCATGGTACTGGTACCAAAACAGAGATATACACCAATGGAACAGAACAGAGGCCTCAGAAATAACACCACACATCTACACCCATCTGATCTTTGACAAACCAGACAAAAACAAGAAATGGGGAAAGGATTCTCTATTTAATAAATGGTGCTGGGAAAACTGGGTAGCCATATGTAGAAAGCTGAAACTGGATCCCTTCCTTACACCTTATACAAATTAATTCAAGATGGATTAAATACTTCAATGTTAGACCTAAAACCATAAAAGCCCTAGAAGAAAACCTAGGCATACCATTCAGGACATAGGCATGGGCAAGGAATTCATGACTAAAACACCAAAAGCAATGGCAACAAAAGCCAAAATTGACAAATGGGATCTAATTAAACTAAAGAGCTTCTGCACAGCAAAAGAAACTACCATCAGAGTGAATGGACAACTTACAGAATGGGAGAAAATTTTTGCCATCTACCCATCTGACAAAGGGCTAATACCCAGAATCTACAAAGAACTTAAACAAATTTAAAAGAAAAAATGAAACAACCCCATCAAAAAGTGGGCAAAGGATATAAACAGACACTTTTCAAAAGAATACATTTATGCAGCCAAAAACACATGAAAAAATGCTCATCATCACTGGCCATCAGAGAAATGCAAATCAAAACCACAATGAGATACCATCTCACACCAGTTAGAATGGCGATCATTAAAAAGTCAGGAAACCACAGGTGCTGGAGAGGATGTGGAGAAATAGGAATGCTTTTACACTGTTAGTGGGAGTGTAAACTAGTTCAACCACTGTGGAAGACAGTGTGGCAATTCCTCAAGGATTTAGAGCTAGAAATACCATTTGACCCAGCAATCCCATTACTGGGTATATACCCAAAGGGTTATAAATCATGCTAGTATAAAGACACATGCACACGTATGTTTATTGCGGCACTATTCACAATAGCAAAGACTAGGAACCAACCCAAATGTCCATCAATGATAGACTGGATTAAGAAAATGTGGCACATATACACCATGGAATACTATGCAGCCATAAGAAAGGATGAGTTCATGTCCTTTTTAGGGACTTGAATGAAGCTGGAAACCATCATTCTTAGCAAACTATCGCAAGGACAGAAAACCAAACACCACATGTTGTCCCTCATAGGTGGGAATTGAACAATGAGAACACTTGGACACAGGGAGGGGAATATCACACACTGGGGCCTGTTTTGGGGTGGGGGTATGGGGGAGATATAGCATTAGGAGAAATATCTAATGTAAATGACGATTTAATGGGTGCAGCAAACAAACATGGCACATGTACACATATGTAACAAACCTGCACATACACATGTACCCTAGAACTTAAAGTATTTTATATATATATAAAACCTTATTTTATATATATATATAAAACCTTATTTTATATATATATAAAACCTTATTTTATATATATATATAAAACCTTATTTTATATATATATAAAACCTTATTTTATATATATATATAAAACCTTATTTTATATATATATATAAAACCTTATTTTATATATATATATAAAACCTTATTTTATATATATATAAAACCTTATTTTATATATATATATAAAACCTTATTTTATATATATATATAAAACCTTATTTTATATATATATATAAAACCTTATTTTATATATATATATAAAACCTTATTTTATATATATATAAAACCTTATTTTATATATATAAAACCTTATTTTATATATATAAAACCTTATTATATATATATAAAACCTTATTTTATATATATATAAAACCTTATTTTATATATATATAAAACCTTATTTTATATATATATAAAACCTTATTTTATATATACAACACCTTATTTATATATATATATATATAAAACCTTATGTTATATGGGTTTCTGTTATAACACATCTAATTTAGTAAATATTGTTGATTCATTAACATTGACTTCACAGGCAACAGCACTGTGATTCATGCCTGAAAGAAGCTTCTCTAACGCATGGATTTTCTCCATAAGACACATCACAACGTTATTGCCCTTAGGAACACTAGGAAGCACTTCAGCAGTAAGCTTGAGGACCATTTTAAACAATAAAATTACCAACAAAAAACACAAAAATACAAAAATATGTGGCACTAAGTAGGAAGCAAAAAAGACACTTGTTTACAGTATGCAAACTGAAGAAAGAAGAACGAGCATTAATTGCCTTGTCCTGCTTCAGCTGGGAACACACACATTGGGCAAAATCAATTTTTACTGCTCTGTTTATGTCCTGGAATAACCATGAAATTGCCCCAACTATTGATTTTTCAGGTTACCAATTTTAGAAGGCAGGAAAATTTGCAAATAGAGAATCTTACGATAATGAATATCAACTGTATTTCATAAGAAACAAAATTATGTTTGACATAATGAAAAGCTTGGTGAGCATAGAGATTAGTAACCACATGGGTAAATCCAGAGAAATACTGATTATACAAGATAATTGTAACGTTTAATTTTGGAAATAAGAAGGCAGAGCTAGCATACACCATGAAAATACAATACAGACAATGGAGTGACTGAAGTTCAATATTTTAAAATCTTTGTATTATTCAGAAAGAAAACATTTCTGATTAAACTGACATTAAATAAACTACCCATGTTAAAATGTCAAGGGTACTGCTGAAGAAGCAGTGTGTAATTTCCAAAACAATAAAGGAAAAAATGGAGTGAATCACTTAATAAATCCAAAAAGCAGCAAAAGAGAAGTGAATCACAAAGAAAACAGGCCACACAGAAATTACACAATAAAAGGACAGAAATATCCCCAAAATGTCAGGATGGACTAAGAAAATATTAAAACAAATTACAACGATGTGCTTTAAACAGGACTTTAAGACATGAAGGCATAGAAAGGCTAGAGGTAAAAAGACAGAAAAAGTTATGCCCAGACAAATACTGTCCTAAAATAAGCAGCTACATCTTTATTAGTATCAATTAAAACAGACTACATAAAGCAGTATTATAATTTTTTAAGAGGGGTCACTATAAAATGATAAAAAGTACACTCATGAATTGATGAAATAATTATAGATTTCCATGTACTCCTAGCATAGCTTCAAAATGTCTTTGTGTATGCATATTTTAAACCGACAGAAATTAACAAGTCTTGGGAGATACCAATAAAACCTTTTCAGTTATCTAACAAAGCTACATAAGGAGATAGAAGTATGAAAGACCCTATTAAGAAGCAGACTTTAATAATTATACAGAGAATTATGGCTAGTTATGCCCCAATAATTTGAGAATACACATCTTCCTCAAGTATATGAAAACTCATCATGTATTGGGCCATAAAGCAAATCTGAAATAAGAGATACCAGACAAATCTACTATCTAACCATTATTCAATAATTTACTAATTGATATGCAAATTCTCTTCATGTTACAAAAAGAATGGATAAATTGTAGTATATTTCTACAATGAAAAACTATATAGAAGTGAAAATGAATATCATGAATGAATCCCAAATATCATTTTGATTAAAAAAGAAAATAGCAATATAATTCCACACATAAAATTTGGAAACATCTAATATATAGCTATATCTTAGGAATGTACATGTGGTAAAACATAAACACATGGAAATCATAAACATCAATGTTTAGATAGTGGTACCTTTGGTGGGAGAAGGAAGGTGAGTTGGTAATATTTTATTTCTTAAGCCTAGTGGTAGGTAACTGTGTTTGTTTTATTTCTTGTGGTTTTTAGGGAGATAAAGATTAAAATTACATAATTTTTTTAAATTATTCAAATAAAAGGTTAGATTAAGAGCTTATGGTCCTTGTTCCATGAGATTGTATCTTCATTTTAAAAAGGAGGGTTGTTTGAAAATTAAAAGAAAAAAAAAAGCTCATATTAAATATAAACAGATGTTCCTCAACTTACAATGAGGTTATGTTTGGATAAGCCCACTGTAAGTTAAAAATATCCTAAGTTGAAAATCCATTTAGCACCTAACCTACTGAACATTGTAGCTTAGCCTAGCCTTCAAATGTGCTCAGAATACTTACATTAGCCTGCAGTTGGGCAAAGATCATCTAACACAAAGCCAATTATGTAATAAAGTGCTGAATATCTCATGTAATTTCTGGAATACTGTAATTTAGTGAATACTTGTTTAAATATACTGTACAGTATTCAATAAATTACATAATTAAATATACTATACAGTATTCAATAAATTACACATTATATAAAGAATGATTGAAATAATGGTTGTACGGGTACTCAAAATATGGTGTCTACTAAATTGCATATCACTTTCACACTACGGTAAAGTAAAAAAATTGAAAGTAAATCACTGCTAGAATATGGACAACACTGTCAAGAATGTCTAACAATATTATTACTGAACATGTTTGTGCTTGATATAAATTTAATATAAAGTAGCAGCTTTTCAGGGCTCTGTTTTCACATATTCTTTTCCTAAACTTTAAGTATACTGTTAGAAATACAAATTTGAAGTTTATACAATGTCAGTAGCTACTTACTTTGAAATTCCTGTTATTTTGCATATAACATTATATACTTTTATGTACTTTACTATAACTCTGTTTACATGTCTAATTCTTCAACTAGACTATGGGTATCCTGGTAATAAGGATGAGTCCTAATCATCATTGTATCATCAGCCTAGTATAATGCTCAACAGAAGTGAAGTATTCGATATCTTTAAGTAAAGGAATAGTAGAAAAGTGTTCTTGCAGTGTTATATGAGTTGTGGAGAAAAAAGCACCACTGATGCTGGGGAAGAAGACTCAGTTATACATTTAAATTTACAAAACAAATTTATACCAAAAGAATGCTGTTTATTTGTGTTACATATTAGGATTCCACATACAATTTCATTCGGAATAAAAGGGCTCTGCTGCTGAAAGAGTTAGAAAACTAATGTCATAGATGTTCTGCAACATTTTTACTTCATGAACTGATATAATTAAAAGTACAAATATATCAGCACCAAAAATGTAGGAAGGAGAGTCTCAGAAGAAAGGGTAGCTCTTAAAACTGAGTACATTTAGCTTTGCAAAATAGATTACCCTTTTTAATTTTTCCCATTTTGACTTGATCATGAAACCTCATCACAGGCCAAAATATTGCACAGTATTTCAAATCTGGTTCATAACTCAATTCAGTAGCTGAATTGATGCTATTATTTTCCACATCAGCAGTCTATTTTCTCCACTGCAACATAGAGAATCCTCACTTATTGTAGTATACATAGAGGATAGTTATTTGAACAGCAGACACTTGAATTTAAGGGAATCTCATATCCTGGTTTTAGAAACTACCCAATAGTTACAAGCAGGATTTAGACCTAGGGATGTTCTCATTTCTGGCTTACCACAGAACATTCATCATCAGAGAAATGCTGGTGTCATAAGCCAACTGGGCTACATATACATATATGAATGTATTTGGCAGTGGTGCTTTGGGCATCCTTTGTTGCAAAATGAATTCCTCTATCTCAAAAGTAATTTTCCCCATGACTCAGTGGATTATTATTCCTATTTCTGCCACTGCTGCCAACGTTAATGCTTTAATACCTTACTTAACCAATATTCTCAAGTATTATGGTGTTTCACATAAAGACATTTTAAGCTGTGGTTCAGGTTCAATTTTAAATGCCTAAACTTCTTTTTTTAAAAACTGGGAATACCTTAAAAATGATTTATGCATCCTTTGAGTAATATACAAAATGGTACATATTTTCCTAATCACTCAGAATCCATCTGATAGTTGTTAATAACTGTTATTTGATGTAATTGATAGTTTTATGTTTCCTCCTTTGATGTCAGGCTGTCAATTGTCACTTCTACTGTTTGTATACCTATGTCTTGTAGCCCTCTCTCTTTCTCTCTCTCTCTCTCTCTCTCTCTGTTGTTAATATGAAGGTCTAAGAAATAATTAAAGATGGTAGATTTTGGAAAAAAATAAGTCAGTAAGTTCTGATTTATAATGACAGGTGGGCCAGAGAGCTCACATAGCTAGAGACAGAACTAGGGCAGTAACCCAGTCCTCTCGTTCACAGTCACTATATTTTCAATACCTGATCTAGGTAGTAGGATTCTTAACTGGAGGTATTCACTTCCTTGGGTTAGATTTATTCAGCCCCTGTGAGGTTTAGCACATACCATTATGCTTGCTTTTCAGTTAATATAAAACATAACCCTGACTCTGAGAAACTGATTTCAAAGGTCTCCACTAATGGCATCAGGTTTCTTTCCTCATCCCAATATCCATGCAAAAGCAAAAAACTACCTCACTTGGACCTTGAGATTGATAAATAAGGAAATCAATAAATAGCTGAACATTTAGATTTCAAATTTTCAAAAAGTATTAATTCCCTTCCTTCCAATTTTACAAAATCAAAATTTAAAATATTACATCATACAAATGTACCTTTTAAATGAGAATATATATGAAACAGACTTGTCTTCAAGAGAATCTAGGCTAGCCTTTCCCATAAAGTGATTGTGTAGATTCACATCTTTTTCAAACTCCTTTTAAAGCAAAACCCCAAGTAGACTATCAATATATAGAAAAAGTAGCTCTGCATAACCCATAGGACTCCATCAAACATGACTTAATTGTGCTGTAAGTTCTAGAGGCACTGCAGAAAATGAAGAGACTTCAGAGCCCAGCCTAGGTCGTTTACTCTATGCTTACAAGCCCTGTGGCTTTCATAGCTTTAATTTCCTCTTCTATAAAATGGAGATAATATCATTTGTCTCCCAGTGCTGCTTTGAGGATCATAGATAATGTACACAAAATCCTCAGCACAAAATTTGGCACATAGTAGTTCAATAAATGAGAGCTATTGTAATTACCTCCTTGTGACTTTGCTAAGTCACCTACATTAATTGGATAATAATAAAAAGTCTGAATGTCTCTTTAAAACATTAATATAATTTCTTTTATTTGTAGTTACACTGTTGATAGAGAAAGTGTGGAAATCAGCTATGTCTTAGATCATTGCTTTGAAATCTAAATAAGAATCATTAGGTTTCAACATATTTATTGTACATATAGAAGGAAGCCTTGCTTTTAGAATTGAATGCAACTATTTTCCTGAATAAAAATTGTTATACTCAGTTTACCATAGAAATTCATAGTAGAAATATGTCCCCTCTGCCTCTCTGAAATGGATGGAAAAACACCAAGTGAAAATAAGTTATCCAAACACAGCATGGCAGAAGCTATTTTATTCCAAGTGTCAAAAGCAGGATGATGCAATCTCCTGGGTACACAGAAGTTGGATAAAAAGCAGGTAAGAGAAAGAAAATAAAAATGTTCCACTAGCAGCTGCCCTAGAATAAGGCAGCGGTACCAATACTATAGATTTTTATTCATGCATTTGACAACAAGTGGCATTTTGCATCCAACTTTCCTCCTTTTAAGCTCACAGCATCTTAAGCATTCTTTGTATATTTAGGGGAAGTAGAGTTTGGGATCACAGAATCACAGGAAGATTATCAGAATTGAAAGGAACTTTACAGATAATTTGTCAACCTCCTCATTTTACTGATGTGAAAACTGAATTCCAGAGATGAATAACTGAGAAAAAATTGCTGAATATAAGAACAAGGAGGAATTCGAGTCCAGCTCAACTCTTATTTCCCTCTTTGCATTTTAACTTTCATAGAGAATTGCTCAGAATTGGCCCTCAAATGGAGTCAAATGATGAACCATAAATAATCATTATATTTAATACTTATTATAAAACATTTTACTGACTAGTCAGGCCATAAATTATAGGGCTACTGTCAAGTAAATTTTAAAAGCAAATTTGAAATATTAATATCTTAGTCAAAATACCATTTTTCAGCACTATCAAAGCCTCAGAGACTAAGAGTAATTAGTTCTGCTTTAGGATTTAGAGAGATTCAGAAGATTCAAAATGGGTAACATTTTTAAGGTAGCTGGCAATCTTTGCCTATAACACAGTCTGAGCTGTCTGGGTGACTATGGAAGGAGACAATACCAATCTAGAACATCCATCTCTCTACTTTCAGAATATGTACAGTACTTATTACCTACTTTGTTGGTTCTTAACCTTTTTCAGGTTAGAATCTCTTAGAGAAAGATGACAGCTGTAGACAGTCTTCCCAAGAAAATGCATATGCTACCATACAAAATTTTGCACACAATTTCAAAGAGTTTAGCAAGTCCACAGTGGGATCAAGAATTGCTGTTCTACAATGAGAACATATGGGCACAGGGAGAGGAACATCACATACTGGGGCCTGTCAGGGGGTGGGGGGCAAGAGGAGGGATAGCATTAGGAGAAATACCTAATGTAGATGACGGGTTGATGGGTGCAGCAAACCACCATGGCACATGTATACCTATGTAACAAACCTGCACGTTCTGCACATGTATCCCAGAATTTAAAAGATAATTTTTTTAAAAAAAATGCTGTTCTATCATTCATCTCAGTTAATATGCGCTTCCTTGTATTGTTATTTATTCCCACCCATGTGTGTCCTGGCTTCACTAGATCAAAAGCTGCTCAAAGTTGGGGATGGATCTTATAACCCTCTATGTATCCATAGCCTAGGTGCATTGTTTAGCCCATGGTAGAGATTCAAATATATGCTAATAATTAAATCTTAATAGAAGGTAACTTATTTTGTGCCCACTATGGCCCAGTGCTGTTTAAGGAAATGAGGATTCAAAGATTATAAATATAAAAGCCATCCTTCAACAACTCACAGTCTAATGAAAGAGATAAATAAGTAAACATATGATTACAATGGGAGGCTTGGGGAGGCTACAGATGGTAAAACATGGGGAAAAGAGGACAGCATAGAAACTGGTGGGAACTGATACTCTCATATTCCTAGTTTTGGAGGGGATGGTAGGTTAGAAGATTAGGAAGATGGAAAACCTCCTGTAAATGAAGCACGCTTGAGCTAAGTCCAACAACAACAAAATGAGTTATGAGTTACCCAGAAGAGAGGTAAAACTGTAGAGAAGCAAAAAGAGAGAAAGCGAGCAAGAGAGAGCGACCGCGTGCGTGTCAGAGAGAGAAAGCTTGGACCAGAAAAGTATCCCTTATTTTTTTACTATTGTTTCATCCCTATAGTTAATCTAACCCTAGTCCCTAAACACCTTGTGCAAATATTGCTCCAAAGACAGAAGTCAAAATGATCATGCTAATCGAATTGTGTCAGCACAGTCTTCTTATATACTATAACAAAGGGATTTTTGCATTTATAAAGGTGACAAGTGTTACTCAAGATAGAGCTCAACTTATTTATGGAAGAGGGCTCTGAGTCCATATGTCATTCTCCTGTTCTATACTCCAAGAAAAAGGTCTGGACTGAACATATTCCACATAAATGAACCAAGAGACTTAATCACAGCCAGATGGTGTGAGTCAAGTTAAAGCTCCTTTTTTTTTTTTTTTTTTTGGTAGACTGAAGGGAAGTTAATCGTTCACTTTTGTTGGGTATTAAACTATTGATAACAGTACCATTAACTTTGATTACAGTCAGGCATTCCTTTCAGTTAAAGAAAATTGGTCAGTATAGTAGTTATCTTGTTACCAGAAATTACATGAGGTAGATTTAGACCAAAAATAACTTGATTAGAGTAGGAAACAAAAACTCATTTAGAGCTATTACCTCAAATACTTCTAAAGGTTCTGGGAAAAGGGATACGATTTGTAATTTATTTCCTCATACTTAAAAGCATGTTCAAAACTTTACAATTTAATAAGCACTTCCATTTCATCTTCACAACAGCTTTATAAGGTTGGCAGGTCAGTTATGCATTACAGATGAGTAAGCTTTGCAGGAGGCTATATGACCTGTCCTAACTCACAGGCTTAAGATAAACTGGGATTAGAAATTGATTTGACTCATATTCCAGTGCTCTTCCCTTTATTATGCTAATACAACTACACTTTCTTTATTATCCTTTAAACTGTAGTGATAAGTAGACCTTTTAGTCATCTACTATGTTGATGAAATGACCTATCGGTGCCCATCAAGGGTTCATATTTTATTCTCGGCCAGTCCGGCACATGATATAATGTTAACAATATTCTCAGTATGGCTTACATAATTCTTTCACCAAATGTCTTTCTATGTTGTAGGCTTACAAACGAATGAAGCTAAAAGAGCTTTAACATGAGCTATCAAACAACTACTATTACTCACATTTTATTATTTTGCCAAGTTTCATTCAGTGGCAGTATACCAAGCTATTCTATTTTCCATAATACCAACTCCTTGAAGAAGAGGAATTACAACATTTCCGTTGTGAAAAACAATTTCATCCTTTAATTCAGGGCTTTAGACAGCTTGGTTCTAAACTCTGACCTCATTTCTTAAGTGGGAACACAGGTGCAATTGATGAATTTTATAGCTTTAGGGAACTATATGAGTTTCCTCATGTGTTAAATCCTATTATTAAGCAAGCAATCATCTTAGTTTGGAGGCTTGGTGTTAAGCACTTTACCTCCTTACCGGTCACCTCCACCCAGGAAAAGAAGTGAAGTTCAACAAAAGCTATCTGCCCTAGTACTGCACTCAAAACCTACACCTACACCCTAAACCTCTGGCAAACTCCTGTTGCCTTGCCTCTGTTCTCGCACAGTTTCCCAACAATTTCAAAGAGGACGAATTCACTAAAGGACAGGTGACAGAAGCTCTCAGAGTGGGAGGGCTCGCGCTCTAAATCTCAAACCAGTGCGGCGACTCCCCTGACCATTCTTTAAAGCAGTCCCACCTCCCCTGATTCTAGGATGGCAGCGAGTCCCAGGAAAAAAAAAAACAAAAAACAGAAAAACTAAAACCAAGCTGCTGGAGCCCACCAATCGGTGCCAGCGCTCTCAGCCCTCCACAGCTAGACCAAAAAGGTCACTACCAGGCACCTCCCAGGGTCCCAACCTCTGCCCTCCCCACCTTTCCCTATGCCCTAAGAGCAGCTTTTCAAACAGGAAAGGATACTCCCCATATTCGACGTGGTCCCACGACTTTTCGCGGGAGGCGAGTGCCCGGGGCAGCAGCACGAGTGGGATGTGAGGTCGCCCAGAGTCCTGCGCTAGTCCTGAATAGCCGGCACGCGCAGCTACTAGGTTTGCAATCCCATTTCCTGTTTCTGCTCCTGGACCGAGGGGGCGGGGCCGGGTGCCTCCGAGGGGCGGGGCTGGTGCAACTCCAAAATGGCTGCCGCGGGGAGCGGCGATTAGAACGGGTTCCAGTCGCTTGGGGGCGTTGGGGGGCTGGAGGGCAAGAGGTTACGCGCCCCAGCTCCCACCTTGGGTCCTTCGCCTGCACCCAGTCTAACCTGGCACCTAAAGGTTTCGTCACCCAGCCAACCTTCTAGTTCTTTCTTTTGTCCTACTCCAAAGTCTTCTTAACCTTCCGCCCCACCTCTTTCCTCAGATTTCACTCTGTCCTTGGCCCCTCACCATTGTCTCAGAGTTTAAGCCTTAACGGATGAAGGAAAAAGGTATAGGGCTTTTAACGTATTTTTCAAAAAATTATAGTCGTATAAAATAAGGGTCTAAGGGATAGCGCGGCTGGTAAATTTGAGGTGTGAAGTTCACTTATGGCGTTAAAAAGCTTCGTGATCCTTAAAGTTGTAGGCTAGACTTAATAGGTAAAGTTTATGTGAAATATGTATTCGCACTAACTTTTTTTTTCAATATATATATAAGATACGAAAATTACTACAAAGTCTATAATGTGCAAGGAGGTTAAGTGAAATACTAGATAGTAGTTGGCGTTTTATATGTGACATGAAAATGTTCCAAAGTTATTAGACACTATGGATTTATGGAAAGGAAGGGCATCCTGGGAATTGTCGATTCGTTTCAATTCAAAACCCTTGGAAATTCCAAGGAAGAACTGAGATTTTGCTTTGGGGAAAACAATTAGTATATTCTCTTACTAAGGAATTTAACAAGTTTGACGAATTTTTTTCCCATCTTTAGTGTTTCAATATATAGGGGAAATAAGCATCTAATTGGATAAGTTTCTTTTTATCTTTGTTTCTTTTTGAAAGAAAGATGGATCTAAAAACTACTGTTTTACTCTTTAGTGTTAATGTAATTGGTGGTAGGCTTCAGACTGTTACCCTAACTACAAACCTTCGATGCTGGAAAAACAAACCTTTTAAAATACAAGGTTCTAGGAAAGTACAGCCTGGAAACCACTTCAGTAGGTGAAACTGTATAAAGATTGCTTTATTTTTGATGTCCCTATATATTTGAGAATTAAGACTTTACAGAAACAGATAAAACTTAGTAGATTTCATCACTGTTTGATCAGTTTCTATACTAGATAAACAGTTGTATTTCGCTGTTGGAGAACTTCTTTTGGTATAAAGATAAAAAACATTAAAAAAAAAGATTTTCCCTGGACTCTTAGTATTTTTTTAACACAGCTATTTCAAAAAAATCCATATATAGACCAGAACAATCCACTAAAGCTAAAGCATTTTCAAGTTTCATATAAAGTTCCTAGACTTATATGTAGCTAAGCTATAAGAATAAGCCTTTTTTAAAAAGTGTTTTGAAAATGTTTTGTGGAATTTCTTAAGGAAAAGGTCTTTAGGATAGGATCAGTTTTTTAGTAAAATTAAAATCTGAAGATATTTGTTGTTAGGGTATTTGTTGTTGATGTCCGCCTTAAGTAAAAGACGAATCGTAGCCTGTGCTGACCATTTAGAAAATTAAGAAGTGGTTTTTGTTTTTGTGAGTTCCAAACTAAATTTGACTCCAAAAATTTCCCTCTTGTTTTTTCTTAGATATCTGATTTCTTAAAGCGAGGTTTATATTTTTCTTAACACTTAGGCACAGAAATAGCATTATTTATTTAAAGTACATGTGTATTCATTCATTTATAACTGGTGTTGTTAAAAGCAACGAACAAATCTGTTAAAGTAAAACTTTTTATTATAGAGAAAATATAAAAAGGAAAGAAAATATAACATTTTAGTTGTATATTAAATATTGAATACCTATAAAATATTTATAAAATGTGTGTGCAAAATAAAAGCAATATTACAAATATATACTTGTGAACTATCACCCAATTTAAGCAAAAGGATATTATACCCTTTAAGTTCCCTTGTATACTCCTTTCTAATCACATTTATTTTCTTCATTTTTAGAGGCAGCTGCTGTCTTGAATTTATGTATAATTTTTCTGTTTTATAGTTGTGCTATAGTATTTGCATCTTTAACCAGCATATCCTTTAGTGATGCCTATTTTTTAATTTTGTATACATGAAATGATACTGCTTTTCTTCTTCTGTGATTTTTGTAACTCATAATGTTCCTCAACCAGGTTATTGTGCATAGGTATGGCTCGCTTATTCATTTTCACTGTTCTAGAGTTTTCCACCATATGAATATATTGTAATTTATCTGTTCTGGTGATGGACATTTGGGTCGTTTCCAGTAAATATGTTAGGATGAAATCTGGATATGCTTATTTTATCATAGTAATGATTAAGGTTAACTTTTAAAAATCCAAATGTTATCTTTAAAAATATAATTTTCCTTTTTTTTTTTGGAGTTGGAGTCTCGCTCTGTTGCCCAGGCTGGAGTGCAGTGCAATCTTGGCTCGCTGCAACTTCTGCTTCCTGGGTTCAAGAGATTCTCCTGCCTCAGCCTCCCGAGTAGCTGGGACTACAGGCCCACGCCGCCACACCCGGCTAATTTTTTGTATTTTAGTAGAGACGGGGTTTCACCGTGTTGCCCAGGCTAGTCTCAAACTCCTGAGCTCAGGCAATCCACCTGCGTCGGCCTCCCAAAGTGCTAGGATTACAGGCGTGATAATTTTCCTCTTTCACTGTAGGCACAATTATTCATTCTTTATTATATTTATTCAGATTTTTTGTTTTGGATCATCTTACATCTTGGCTTTGCTTCTTCCTGTCTACCAGATTTAGTAATACCTTCTACCCTGTTTCACCTAAATAGGTTGCTACCTTTTTCTCCTTTCACCGTTAGAACAGGGCTACAATAGTAGAGACAATAGATGTAGGATCTTCCAAATTGTTCTTTGGGGACCTAATTAACTCTACTTATGAAAGCTTAGCTAAAGTAACATCAGTCACATATTGATAAATCAGATATGGCGGATACTTAGAAGGTGTGAATTTGACTGGGATAATTGAGATGTAAAGAACCAATACAGTATCTTAACTCAGCAGCTATTGAACATGTTAAAATTTGACATGAGCAAAACTAATGTGGAAAATTGTAATTCCTCTGTAAATTGAGTAATTTTTTTATGATTAATTATGCTTAGTTCTCTAAATGTTTTGAACCCAGTGTATTACAGAGAACAAACTTTGTTTAAGTTAAAAACATTTATGAAACAATTCCAGTCAAGATTCTAAGCCACTTAATTTTTAATATTATGATTGTTTTGTGTTAACACATTTTTTGTTGTCTTCTAACAAATGATTTTAAGATGATCAGAAAATTAAATGGTACTTGACAAACTCCCATTGAAGTAAAAAGAGTTCACTAGAAATGAAGAGAGCATAGTGTCATATTTCTCAAACTTTGATGTCCTTTTTAAAAATGCAGATTACTGGGCCTCACTTCTGCAGATTCTGATAGAGTAAATTTGCAGTGAGATCCAGGAATCTGTGTTTTGCTTCTGTTTGCATAATGGAAATAAGTACTATAGAATTATACAAATCATTTATTGCATAAAATAGCTTAACTGGGCTGAAACTTAATAGTTTACAGAATGTCTCATATACATCATTTCATTTGATACCTAAGGTAATCTGAGGTAATCTGGCCAGGTATTATCCTTTATTTTTAACCAATTAGAAAAACAACAAAAAAATTCCAAAACAAACACAGCAACAACAACAAAAACAGAAGCTCAGAGAGATTATTTGGTTTGCCTAGGTATTCAACCTAGGTCTTCTTGATTCCCAGTGCAGTACTTTTGAATGTGTGTAGCAGATAGGCAAAGCAGAATCACAAATAAGACCACTTCTGTTGCTTGGTTTCTATAGCTCAGGTGCCCATTTAGTATAAGAGTAAAATGAGGACTTATTCTAGCTGACTGGAAATCTTTCTAGTTTGTATATGAAGAAATAGACTCAGTTTCCTAAAAATTTGAGAGAGGTCGAAACTGAGGGTCTTTCCTACTTATAATAGAAAAACTGTTTTTTCCCCCTGGGCAAGCAGAGTACACTTTGCTGGTTTCATAGTTCTGGTGTTTTAGGTTTAATTTGAACATTAGACTAGCCTAGAACTCTTCAAGTGACAAGTAAAAAGATTAGAGCTACAGAAGAGGTAAAGCACTATTAAGAGAAGCAAATAGATGATATTGTAGGGAACAGAAGCTTAAAGACAAGAGAAGTGGGTTTTAGTGGTGGTCACAGGTGACCTGAAAAACTATCCAATTCATAATTTGGAAGTGACAAATAAACATAAGGAGACAAGATGAGAAGCTGAATGTAGGATTTAAATGAATAGAATAAAATGAAAAAAAAAGTCTTGGAAAATTAGAAAAAATAAATCTACATGTTTACTATTTCTCAAAGTGCTAATATTTGATCTTTATTTTAATAACAAATATCACGTTTGGTGATTATAATAGATAGTTATCGGAAATATATATATATATATAGAGAGAGAGAGAGAGAGAGAGAGTTATCAAAAAGATTGTTTCTCTAAAAATCTTTGATTTTAACAGAATATCCAAGACATATAATTTCTCTTTGACAGGAAACCTTTTCAAAACTTGAATAATAAAAATGAAGTTTTATTATTACTTGAGTTGATTGATTATTAAAAGATGATATGGTAGGAAATAATAAAACATTTGCTATTATTACAGATACTTTAGGGATAATTCCAAATTAGGTTTGAGAATTGTAGGATTCAAAAATTCTTCAATGTAAGCATAGTGCTCAGAAAACTCATTTTTAATAAACATTTTCCTTATCTCTATGATTTTACTATCCAAGAGCTGTTTGAAAAAAAACTCTTAAGGGAAGAAAAAGCAAAAAGAACAGACTTATCAGAAGGGCAGGTGAGGGCAAGGTTAAAAACAAAGCAAAACAAAAAAGGCTCTCTTAAAGGACTATACTACTCTGGACTCCTGTATCCCATTTTACTGACCATAGAACCTACACATTTAATTCTAGATATGGCTTTTATTTACTGTTACTTTCTTACTACTCTTCATTCTAGATTGATTCTCGAGTCTCTAATCCAAAATCTGTCAAAGTCATGGTTGTTACTACTTTACCTGGTAATTGGTTGGAACAGAGTGTAGCATGCTTTGTAAATTTCTCAATTTCTCTTTGTTTTATTACCCACATTCTATGATTTTTGAATATTTTTTCTAAAATTTGCAATAGTATGTACCAAAATTCTCACCTCTAGATCATAGTTTCTCAAGCAGAACTGTAGACATTTCGGTCTGTACAATGTTTTGAGGAGACTGTCCTGTGTAGTGTAATACTTAGCAGCATCTCTGACCTCTACTGCCCAAATGCCAATAGCACCTTCTTTCCCAAGTTTTGACAGCCCAAAATGTCTCCAGACATTGCCAAATATCCTTTGAAGGACAGAATCACCCCCAGATAACCATTTATCTAGCTATAGAATTATCTAATGCTGTCTTTACATTAAACCAACAGACAAATGATGACAATAGCAACAGAAATATCTTTCAGCCCACTCTTTTTCAGGATTAGCCACAGCAAGAGCAAAACACCCACTCTTTTTCAGGATTAGCCACAGCAAGAGCAAAATAACAACATCATTCCTAGCTTTTGAACCAGTTTTCTAAAGTTGGTAAAATATGAATCCAATACTTTGAAGTCATTGTAAAAATTTTCACTTTGGAGGCAGTGGAAAGAACAGGGCATTTGGAATCATTCATTTGTGACTATGCACATTTGCAAAAATTCTCTGAAGTATTTACCAGAAGTGGGATTACTGAGACACAGGGTAGAAATAGCTATTTTACTGTAAATAAAAGAAATACTATTTTATATGTTAAAAGATTTTATATATTGCAAATGATGATTCAGAAAGGAGTTAAATTAGCATACATCTTACGGAAAAGCTGGCTT